>NC_000011.10:50516808-50669078 GCF_000001405.40 Homo sapiens | reverse complement strand
AGAAACCACTTTCTAATGTGTGCATTCACCTCACAGATTTAAACCTTTCTTTACATTCAGCAGTTTAGAAACACTGCTTTTGTAGAATCTGCGTAGGGATATTTGGGAGTACATTGACGAGCCTGGTGAAAAAGGAAATATCTTCAGATAAAAACAAGAAAGAAGATTTCTGAAAGCCTGCTTTGTGATGTGTGCATTGAAGCCACAAAGTTAAATCTTTGTTTG
The DNA here is from genome assembly GCF_000001405.40 of Homo sapiens. Classification (NCBI taxonomy): domain Eukaryota; kingdom Metazoa; phylum Chordata; class Mammalia; order Primates; family Hominidae; genus Homo; species Homo sapiens. The sequence continues at coordinate 50,668,853 of NC_000011.10, read as the reverse complement.
GACTCAGTAGTTGGGAAAAACTGTTTTTGTAGAATCTGTGAAGACATATTAAGGAGGGCATTGGGGCCTATGGTGAAAAAGGGAATATCTTCAGATTACAAACTAGAAAGAAGTTTTCTGAGAAACTGCTTTGTGATTATTGCATTAATCTCACAGAGATAAAACTTTCTTCAGACTCAGTAGTTTGGAAACACTTTTTGTTGAATCTGCTAAGGAATATTTGGTAGCTCATTCAGGCCAAAGGCCAAAAAGTGACTATCAGAGGATGAAAACTAGAAGGAAGTTATCTGAGAAACTGCTTTGTGATGTGTGAGTTCATCTAGCAGAGAAAATGCATTCTTTTCATTCAGCAGTTTCAAAACATTGATTTGGTAGAATTGCAAATGGATATTTGGGAGTACATTGAGGCCTATGGTGAAAAAGTTAATATCTTCAGATAAAAGCTAGAAAGCAGCTTTCTGAGAAACTGCTTTGTGATGTGTGCATTTGTCTCACAGAGTTAAGACTTTCTTTTCATTCAGAAGTTTGGAAACACTGTTATGGTAGAATTTGTGAAGGGATATTTGGGAGCGCATGGAGGACTATGATGAAAAAGGAAATATCTTGAGAGAAAAATAGAAAAAAACTTTCTGAGAAACTGCTTTGTGATGTGTGCATTCGTCTCACAGAAATAAAAGTTTCTTTAGATTCGACAATATGGAAACACTTTTTTGAGAATCTGTGAAGGAGTATTTGATAGCCCATTGAGGCCATAGAAGAAAAAGCTAATACCCCAAGATAAAAACTAGAAGAAGGAAGTTACCTGAAAAACCGCCTTGTGATGTATGCATTAATCTCACAGTGTTAAACTTTCCTTTGCATTCAGCATTCAGAAACATTTTTTTGGTAGAGTTTTTGAAGGGATGTTTCTTAAAGCACTGACTCCTATGGTGAAAAAGCAAATAGCTTTAGATGAAAACCAGAAAGAAGATTTATGAGAAACATCTTTGTGATGTGTGCATTCATCTCACAGAGTTCAACCTTTCTTTGGATTCAGCAGTTTGCAAACACTGTTTTTGTAGAACGTGCAAAGGGATATTTGATAGTGCTTTGAGACCATAGGCTAAAAAGCAAACATCCCAGGATAAAATGAGATGGAAAGTATCTGAGAAAGTGCTTGGTAATTTGTGCATTCATCTCGCAGAGTTAAAACTTTCCTTTCATTCAGCAGCTTGAAAAAGCTGTTTTTGTAGGGTCTGTGAAGGGATATTTGGGAACGCTTTGAGGCCTGTGGTGAAAAAGGAAATATATTCAGATAAAAATTAGAAAGAATCTTTCAGATAAACTGCTTTGTGATGTGTGCATTCATTTCAAAGGGTTCAACCTTTCTTTGGATTCAGCAGTTTGGAAATACTGTTTTTGTCAATTCTGTGAAAGAACATTTGGGAGCTCATTGAGGCCAGTGGCAAAAATGTGATTATCCCAAGATAAGCACTAGAAGGAAGCTATCTGAGAAACTGCTTTGTGATGTCTGAGTTCATTTTGCAGAGGTAAAAAGTTCTTTGGATTCAGCAGTTTGGAAACACTGTTTTTGTAGAATCAGTGAAGTGATATTTGGGAGCGCATTTTCACCTGTGGTGAAAAAGGAAATATGTTCAGATTCAAACTCGAAAGAAACTTTCTGAGAAACTGCTTTGTGATGTGTGCATTCGTCTCACAGCGTAAAACCTTTCTTTGGATTCAGCACTTTGGAAACACTGTTTTTTCCATTCTGTGATTCGATATTTGGGAGGTCCTTGAGGCCAAAGGGGAAAAGCCAATATCCCACGTTAAAAATTAGAAGAAAGCTCTCTGAGAAATCACTTTGTGCTGTGTGCATTCATCTCACAGGGTTAAAACTTTCTTTTCATTCAGCAGAGTGGAAACACTATTTTGGTAAAATCTGGGAAGGGATATTTGGGAGCACATTAAGGCTAGTGGTGAAAAAGAATATATTCTCACATAAAAGCTATAAAGAAACTTTCTGAGAAACTGCTTGGTGATGTGTGCATTTATTGAACAGAGTTAAACCTTTCTTTGGATTAAGCAGTTTATGAACACTGTTTTCATGCAATCTGCACAGGGCTATTTGGGATCTCATTGGGGCTATAGGGGAAAAAAGGAATATCCCAGAATGAAAACAAGAAGGAAGCTCTCTGAGAAACTGACTTGTGATGTGCTCATTCATGTCACAGAGTTAAACTTTTATTTTCATTCAGCAGTTTTGAAACACTATTTGGTAGAATCTGCAAAGGGATATTTGACAGCCTATTGAGGCCTATGGTGAAACAGGAAATATCTTCACATAAAAAATAGAAAGAAATTTTCTGACAAACTGATTTGTGATGTGTGCATTTGTCTCACAGAGTTAAAACTTTCTTTGGATTCAGCAATTTGAATAACTCTTTTTGTCCATTCTGTGAATGGACATTTAGGAGCTCATTGAAGCTGATGGCAAAAAAGGAAATACCCCAGGATGAAAACTACAAGGAAGCTATCTGAGAAACCACTTTCTAATGTGTGCATTCATCTCACAGAGTTAAACCTTTATTTATATTCAGCAGTTTGGAAACACTGTTTTTGTAGAATCTGTGAAGAGATATTTCGGAGGATATTGAGGTCTATGGTGAACAGGAAATATATTCAGATAAAAACTAGAAAGAAGGTTTCTGAGAAACTGCTTTGTGTTGTGTTCATTCACCTTGCAGAGTTAAACCATTCTTTGTATTCAGCACTTTGTTAACACGGTTTTTGTACATTCAGCGAATGGACATTTGGGAGCTCATTGAGGCCAATGGTGAAAAAGTGAATATCCCAGGATAAAAGCACAAGGAAGCTATCTGAGAAACTGCTTAATGATGTGTGCATTCATCTCACAGAGTTGAACATTTCTTTTCATTCAGCAGTTTGGAAACACTGTTTTGCTAGAATCCATGAAGTGATACATGGGAGCACATTGAGTCCTATGGTGAAAAAGGAAATATATACAGATAAAAACGAGAAATAACCTTTCTGAGAAACTGCTTTGTGATGTGTGCATTCATCTCAGAGTTAAAGGTTCCTTTGCATTCAGCAGGTTGGAAACACTGTTTTAGTATAATCTTCAAAGGCATATAAAATAGTGCATTAAGGCCGTAGGTGAAAAAGCAAATATCTCAGGATAAAAACTAGAATGAAGCTATCTGGGAAACAATTTTGTGATGTGTGCATTCATCGTGAAGACTTAAACCTTTCTTTTCATTCAGCAGTTTGGAAACAGGGTTTTGGTAGAATCTGCAAATGGATATTTCAGAGTGCTTTGAGGCCTATGGTGAAAAAGGAAATATCTTCAGAAAAAAACTAGAAAGAAGCTTTCTGAGAAACTGCTTTGTGATGTGGGCATTCATTGCACAGAGTTAAACCTTTCTTTGGATTCAGCAGTTTGAAAGCACTGTTTTTGTCCATTTTCTGAATGGACATTGGGGAGCTCATTGAGGCTAATGGCAAGAAAGAGAATATCCCAGGATAAAAACTGGAAGAAAGGTTTCTGAGAATCGCTTTGTGATGTACACATTCAACTCACAGAATTAAACCTTTCTTTTCATTCAGCAATTTGGAAACACTGTTTTCATAGAAAAACAGTGATGGGATATTTGTGAGTGCATTGAAGACTATGGTCAAAAAGGAAATATCTTCATATATAAACAAGAAAGAAGCTTTCTGAGAAACTGCTTTGTGATGTGTGCCTTCATTTCACAGAGTTAAATCTTTCTTTGAATTCAGCAGTTTAGAGACACTGTTTTTGTCCATTCTGCGAATGAACATTTGGGACCTATTTGAGGTCAATGGTGAAAAAGTGTATATCTAAGGATAGAAACAAGAAGCAAGCTATCTGAGAAAATGCTTTGTGATTTGTGAACTCATTTCACAGAGTTAAACCTTTCTTTTCATTCATCAGTTTTGAAACACTGTTTTGGTAGAATCTGCAAAGGGATATTTTGGAGTGCATTGAGGGTTAGGGTGAAAAAGGAAATATCTTCAAATTAAAACTAAAAAATAAAGCTTTCTGAGAAACTGCTTTGTCATGTGTGCATTCATCTCACAGAGATAAACATTTCTTTGGATTTAGTAATTTTTTAACTGTTTTTGTAGAATCTGCAAGGGGATATTTGGAACTCATTGAGGCCAAAGGTGAAAAAGCCAGTATCTCTGGATAAAAACTTGAAGGGTGCTATCTGAGAAACTGCTTTGTGATGTGTTCATTCATCGGGCAGATATAAACCTTTATTTTCATTAAGCATTTTGGAAAAAACTGTTTTTGTAGAACCTGCGAAGGGATATTTGGAATGCACTGAGGCCTATAGTGAAAAAGGAAATAACTTCAGATAAAAACTTGAAAGAAGATTTCTGAGAAATTGCTTTGAAATGGGTGCATTTGTCTCAGAGAGGTAAATGTTTCTTAGGATTCACCAGTTTGGGAACAATGTTTTTGTAGAATCTACGAAGGGATATTAGATAGCTCATTGAGGCCATAGGTGAGAAAGTAAATATCCAAGGATAAAAACCAGAAGAAGCTATCTGAGAAACCACTCTGTGTTGTGTGCATTCATCTCACTGAGTTAAACCTTGCTCTTCATTCAGCAGTTTGGAAACACGTTTTAGTAGAATGTGTGAAGGGATATTTGGGAGTGCATTGAGGCATGTGGTGAAAAAGGAAATATCTTCAGATAAATACTAGAAAAAAGCATTCTGAGAAACTGCTTAGTGATGTGTGCATTCATCTCACAGAGTTAAAACTTTCTTTGGATTCAACAGTTTGGAAATACTGTTTTTGTCCATTCTGCAAATGGAAATTTGGGAGCTCATTGAAGCCAGAGGCAAAAATGGGAATATCCTAGGATAAAAACAAGAAGAAAATGATCAGAGAAAGCGCATTGTGTTCAGTGCATTCATCTCACAGAGTTAAACCTTTTTTTTTCATTCAGCAGATTGGAAACACTGTTTTGGTACAATCTGTGAAGGGATATTTGGGAGGGCATTGAGTCCTATGGTGGAAAAGGAAATATCTTCAGATGAAAAGTAGAAAAAAGCTTTCTGAGAAACTGCTTTGTGATGTGTGCATACATATCAGAGAGTTAAAACTTTCTTTGGATTCATCCATTTGGAAACACTGGTTTTGTAGAATCTGCAAAGGGATATTTGGGAGCTAATTGAGGTGAAAGGCAAAAAAGTGAATATAATTGAATTACAAACTAGAAGGAAGTTATCTGAGAAACTGCATTTGTGATGGGTGCACTCATCTCGACATAAACTTTTCTTTTCTTTCAGCTATTTGGAAACACTGTTTTTGTAGTATCTGTGAAGTGATATTTGGGAATGCATTGAGGCCTATGCTGAAAAAGGAAACATTTTCAGCTAAAAACCAGAAAGAATCTTTGAGAGACACTGTTTTGCGATGTGTGCATTCATCTCACAGAGTTAAACTTTCCTTGGATTCACCAGTTAGAAATGCTGTTTTCGTAGAATCTGCCAAAGGATATTGAATAGTTCATTGAGGCCATAGGTGAAAAAGCTAATATCCCAGGATTAAAACTAGAAAGAAACTATCAGAGAAAACTCTCTGTGGTGTGTTTCATTCATCTCAGAGAGTTAAACCTTTCTTTTTACTTAAGCAGTTTGGAAACACAATTTTTGTAGAATCTGCAAAAAGATATATGGAAGCGCATTGAGGCCTTTTATGAAAAAGGATATATCTTCACATAAAACTAAAAAGAAGCTTTCTGAGAAACTGATTTGTGATGTGTGCATTCATCTCACAGACTTAAACCTTTCTTTAGATTCAGCAGTTTGGGACCACTGTTTCTGTCCATTCTGCAAATGGATGTTTGGGAGCTTGTTTAGGTCAATGGTGAAAAACCTAATATCCCAGGATAAAAACTAGAAGGAAGCTATATGAAAAACTGCTTTGTGACATGTTTATTCATTTGCAGAGTTAAACTTTCTTTTCATTCAGCAATTTGAAAACACTGATTTAGTGGAATCTGGGAAGGGATATTTGGGAGCATGTTGGGGCTATGCTGAAAAACTAAATATATTCACATAAAAAGTAGAAAGAATTTCACTGAGAAACTACTTTGTGATGTGTGCATTCATCTCACAGTTAAACCTTTTTTTGGGTTTGGCAGTTTGGAAACACAATTTTTTTTCCATTTTGTGAAAGGACAATTTTGCGCTCATTGACACCAATTGTGAAATTGTGAATATCCCAGGATAAAAACTAGAAGGAAGCTATCTGAGAAACCTGTTTGTGATGTGTGCATTCATCTCACTGAGTTAAAGCTTGCTTTGACTTCAGCAGTTTAGAAACACTGTTTCTGTCCATTCTGCAAATGGATATTTGGGACCTCATTGAGGTCAATGGCAAAAAAGCATATATTCCAGGATAAAAATATGAAGCAAGCTATCTGAGAAAATGCTTTATGATGTGCGAATTTATCTGGCAGAGGTAAACCTTCCTTTTCAATCAGCAGTTTGGAAACACTGTTTTGGTAGAATCTATGAAGGGACATTTGGGAGTGCATTGAAGGGGTATGGTGAAAAAGGAAATATCATTAGATCAAAACTAGAAAAAAAGCTTTCTGAGAAACTGCTTTGTGATGTGTGCACTCATCTCACAGAGTTAAAACTGTCTTTGGATTCAGTAATTTTGTAACACTGTTTTTACAGAATCTGTGAAGGGATATTTGAGAGCTCATTGAGGCCAAAGGTGAAAAAGGGAATATCCCTTGATAAAAACCCGAAGGATGCTATCTGAGAAACTGCTTTGTGATGTGTGCATTCATCTTGCAGATATAAAAATTTATTTTCATTCAGAATTTTGGAAAACCAGCTTTGGTAGATTCTGCAAAGGGATATTGGTGATGCATTGAGGCCTATGATGAAAAAGGAAATATCTTCAGATAAAAACTGGAAAGAAGTTTTCTCAGAAACTGCTTTGTGACGTGTGCATTTGTCTCACAGAGTTAAATGCTTCTTAGGATTAATCAGTTTGGGAAGGCTGTTTTGGTAGAATCTGCAAAGGGATATTAGACAGCTCATTGAGGCCATAGGTGAAAAAACAAATATCCAAGATAAAAACTAGAAGAAAGTTATCTCAGAAACCACTCTGTGATGTGTGCATTCATCTCACAAAGTCTAACCTTTCTTTTCATTCAGCAGTTTTAAACACTGTTATTGTAGAATCTGCAAAGGGATATTTCAGAGCTCATAGAGGCCTACAGTGAAAAAGGAAATATCTTAAAATAAAAATTAGAAAGAAACTTTCTGAAAAACTGCTTTGTGATGTGAGCATTCATCTCACAGATTTAAACCATTATTGGATTCAGCAGTGTGGAAACACTGTTTTTTCCACTCTGCAAATGGAAAATTTTGGAAGTCATTGAGGCCAGTTGTGAAACTGTGAATATCCCAGGATGAAAATTAGAAGGAATTTATCTGATAAACTACTTTGCGATGTGTTCATTCAAATCACGAGTTAAACCTTTTTCATTCAACAGTTTGGAAACACTGTTTTTGTAGTATCTGCTATGGGATATTTGGGAGTGCTTTGAGGACTGCAGTGAAAAACAAAACGTCTTCAGATAAAAACTGGAAAGAAGCTTTCTGATAAAGTGCTTGTGATGTGTGCATTCATATAACAGAGTTAAAACTTTCTTTTCATTAAGCAGTTTGGAAACACTCTTTTGGTATAATCTGTGAAGGGATATTTGGGAGTGAATTGAGGCCTACGGTGAAAAAATAAATATCTTCAGATAAAAACTAGAAAGAAGCTTTCTGAGAAACTGCTTTGTGATGTGTGCATTCATCTCTCACAGTAAACCTTTTTTTGGATTCAGCAGTTTGGAAACACTGTTTTTGTAATATCTGCTATGGGATATTTGGGAAGGCTTTAAAGCATATGGTGAAAAAGAAAATATCTTCAGATAACAAATAGAAAGAAGCTTTCTGAGGAAATGTTTGTGATGAAAGCACTCACCTCACTGAGGTAAACTTTTCTTTGGATAGAGCAATTTGAAAACACTGTTTTTGTCTTTCTGTGAATGGACATTTGGGAGGTCTTTGAGGCCAGTAAGGAAAATGTTAATATCCGGGATAAAAACTATAAGAAAGATATCTGAAAAACCACTTTGTGATGTATGCATTCATCTTTCAGAGTAAAAACTTTTTATTCATTCAGCATTTTGTAAACACAGTTTTGGTATAATTCACGAAAGGATATTTGGGAGCCCATTGAGGCCTATGGTGAAAAAGGAAATACCTTCGGATAAGAACTAGAAAGAACCTTTCTGAGAATCTGCATTGAGATCTGTGCATTCATCTCACAGAATTAAACCTTTCTTTTCATTCAGCAATTTGGAAACACTGTTTTTTGAGAACCTATGAAGGGATATTTGATAGCTCATTGGGGCCATAGTCAAAAAAAGGAATATCACAGGATAAAAACTACAAGGAAACTACCTGAGAAAAAGCTTTGTGGTGTGTGCATTCACCTCACAGAGTTAAACTGTTCTTTTCATTTAGCACTTTGGAAACACTGTTTTTGTATAATCTGTGAAGGGATATTTCGGAGCTCACTGAGGCCAAAGGGGAAAAAGTGAATATCCCACTATAAAAGCTAGAAGGAAGCTGTATGAGAAACTGCTTTGTGATGTGTGCATTCATCTCACAGTCTTAACCACTTTTCTGGATTCAGCAGTTTGAAAACACTGTTTTGGTAGAGTATGAGAAGGGATATTTTGGAGCTCATTGAGTCCAATGGCAAAAAAGCAAATATCTCACGGTAAAAATTAGACAGAATTTGTCTGAGAAATTCCTCTGTGATGTGTGCATTCTTCTCACAGAGTTAATCCTCTCTTTGGATTCAGTAGTTTGTAAACACTGTTTTGGAATAAACTGCAAAGGGATATTTGGGAGATCATTGAGGCCAAAGGTGAAAAAGTGAATATCCCAGGTTAAAAAAAGGAGGAAGGTATCTGAGAAACTGCTTTGGGATGTATGCATTCACCTCAAAGAATTAAAGTCGTCTTTTTCATACAGATAGCTTCTTTCTAGTTTTTATCCTGGGATATTTGCTTTTTCGTGATTGGCCTCAATCAGTTCCCAAATGTCCACTCACAGAATAGACAAAACCAGTGTTTAGAAACTGCTGAATCCAAAGAAAGTTTTAAATCTGTGACATGAATGTACACACGACAAAGCAGTCTCTCAGAAAGCTTCTTTTGAGTTTTTATCTGAAGATATTACATTTTTCTCTTAGGCCTCCATGAGCTCCCAAATATCCCTTTGCATATTCTACAAAAAAAGAGTTTCCAAACTGTTGAATGAAAAGAAACTTTTAACTCCACGAGATGAATGCACACATCACAAAGCAGTTTTTCAGATAGCTTCCTTCTAGTTTTTATCCTGGGATATTCGTATTTTTGCCTAACACCTCAATGATCTAATATCCATTTGCAGATTCTACAAAAACATTGATTCCAAGCTGCTGAATCCAAAGGAAGGTTTACCTCTCTGAGATGAATGCACACATCACAAAGCAGTTTCTCAGAAAGCTTCTTTCTTGTTTTTATCTGAAGATATTATCTATTTTTCTATAAGCCTCAATGTGCTCCCCAATATCCCTTCACAGATTCTAAAAAAAACAGATTTTCCAAATGGCTGAAGGAAAAGAAAAGTTTTTCTGTGTGAGATGAATGCACTCATCACAAAGTGGTTTCTCAGATAGTTTTCTTCTAGTTTTAATCCTTGGATATTTGCTTTTTCACCTTTGATCTCAATGAGCTCCAAAATATACATTCGTAGAAGGGAGAAAAACATTGATTCCAAACTGCTGAATCCAAGGAAATGTTTAACTCTGTGAGATGAATGCACACATCAAAAAGAAGTTTCTCAGAAAGCTTCTTTTTACTTTTTATCTGGAGATATTAACTTTTTGTCCCTAGGCCTCAATGCACTCCAAAACATCCCTTCACAGATTCTACCAAAATAGTGTTTCCAAATTGCTGAAAGAAAAGAAAGGTTTGAATCTGTGAGGTGAATGCACACATCACAAAGCCGTTTATCTCATATGTTTCTTCTAGTTTTTATCCTGGGATATTCCCTTTTTAGCCATTGGCCTAGATGACCTCCAAAATGTTCATTCACAGAATGTATAAAAACAGTGTTTCCCAACTGCTGAATCCAAAGAAAGTTTTAACTCTGTTTGACTAATGCACGCATCACAAAGCAGTTTCTCAGAAAATTTCTTTCTAGTTATTATCTGAAGATATTTACATTTTCACCACTGGCCTCAATGCGATCCAAAATATCCCTTCACAGATTCTACAAAAACAGTGCTTCCTAACTGCTGACTGAAAAGAAAGGTTTAAATCTGTGACATGAATACACACAATGCAAAGCGGTTTCTCAGATAGCATCCTTCTAGTTTCTATCCAGGGATAATCCCTTTTGCACCTTTGGCCTCAAAGGGCTCCCAAATATCCCTTTGCAGATTCTACAAAAACAATGTTTCCAAACAACCGAACACACAAAAAAGATTTATCTCTGTGACATGAATGCACACACCACAAAGCAGTTTGTCAGAAAGATTCTTTGTAGTTTTCATCTGAAGATATTTCCTTTTTCATCATAGGCCTCAACGCACTCCCAAATATGCCTTCGCAGATAATACCAAAACAGCATTTCCAAACTGCTGAATGGAAAGAAAGTTTTCATTCTGTGAGATGAATGCACATATCACAAAGCTGTTTCTCAGATAGCTTCCTTCTAGTTTTTATCCTGGGATATTCACATTTTCACCATTGGTCTCAACTAGCTCCCAAATATCTATTCACAGAATGCATGAAAACAGTTTCCAAACAGCTGAATCCAAAGAAAGGTTTACCTCTGTGGGATGGATGCACCCATCACAAAGCAGTTTCTCATAAAGCTTCTTTCTAATTTTCATCTGAAGTTATTTAATTTTTATCCATAGGACTCAATGCCCTCCCAAATATGCTTTTGCAGATTCTGCCAAAAGAGCATTTCCAAATTTTGGAATGAAAAGAAAGTTTGAACTCTGCAAGAGGAATGCACACATCACAAAGTGGTTTCTCAGATAGGTTCCTTCTAGTTTTTATTCTTGGATATTCACTTTTTCACCATTGGCCTCAATGAGCTCCCAAATGTCCATTCGTGGAATGGACAAAACATTGTTTCCAAACTGCTCAATGCAATGAGAAGTTTAACGCTGTGAGATGAATGCACATATCACATAACAGTTTTGCAGAAAGCTTCTTTATAGTTTTTATCTGAGGATATTTCCTTTTTCACCATAGGCCTCAACGGGCTGCCAAATATCCCTTCGCAGATTCTACAAAACAATTGTTTCCAAACCGCTCAATGAAAAGGAAGCTTTAACACTGCAAGGTGAATGCAAACTTCAAAAAGCAGTTTCTCAATTAGCTTTCTTCTAATTTTCATCCGGGGATATTCGCTTTTTGCATTTGTCATCAATGAGCTCCCAAATATCCCTTCGCTGATTTACAACAGCAGTGTTTCCAAACTGCTGAATCCAAAGAATGGTTTAACTCTGTGAGATGAATGCATACATCATAAAGCAGCGTCTCAGAAAGTTTCTTTCTAGTTTTCAAATGAAGATATTTCCTTTTTCACCATAGGCCTCAATGCACTCCCAAATAACCCTTTGCAGATTCTACAAAAAGAGTGTTTCCAAACCACTGAATGAAGAGAAAGTTTTAACTCTGTGAGTAGAATGCACACATCACAAAGTAGTTTCTCAGATAGCTTCCCTCTAGTTTATAATCATTGGATATTAGCTTTTTTTGCCTTTGGCCTCAATTAGCTACAGAATATCCCTTCACAGATTCTACAAAAACAGTGTTTCCAAACTGCTGAATAGAAAAAAAAAAAAAAAGTTTAACTCTCTGAGATGAATGCACACATCAGAAACCGGTGTCTCAGATAGCTTCTTTCTAGTTTTCATCCTTTGTAGGGACATGGATGAATCTGGAAACCATCATTCTCAGCAAACTATCACAAGGAGAAAAAAACAAACACCGCATGTTCTCACTCATAGGTGGGAATGGAACAATGAGAACACATGGACACAGGAAGGGGAACATCACTCACCGGGGCCTGTTGTGTGGTGGGGGGATGGGGGAGGGATAGCATTAGGAGATATACCTAATGTTAAATGACGAGTTAATGGGTGCAGCACACCAACATGGCACAGTTATACAGTTGCAACTAACCTGCGCGTTGTGCACATGGACCCCAAAACTTAAAATACAATAAAGAAAAAAAAGAAAAGTTTAAATCCCTGGGATGAATGCATACATCCCAAGCCAGTTTCTCATTATGTTTCTTTCTAGTTTTTATCTAAAGATATTTCCATTTTCACCATAGGCCTCCACAGTCTTTGAAATGTCTCTTCCCAGACTTTGAGAAAAGAGTGTTTCCAAATTGCTAAATGAAAACAAAGTTTTAACACTGTGAGTTGAATGCACACATCAGAAATCCGTTTCTCAGATAACTTCCTTCCAGTTTTTATCCTGGGATACTCACTTTTGCGACATTGGCATCCGTGAGTTCCCAAAAGTCCATTCGCAGAATGTACAAAAACAGGATTTCCAAAATGCTGAATCTAAGGAAAGGTTTAACTCTGTGAGATGAATGAGCACATCACAAAGCAATTTCTCAGAACACTTCTTTATAGTTTATAGCTAATGATATTTTCTATTTCATCATAGGCCTCAAAGTGATGCCAAATATCCATTCACAGATTCTACAAATACGGTGTTTCCAAACTGCTGAATGAAAAGAAAGGTTTACCTCTGCAAGCTGAATGCACACATCACAAAGCCGTTTCTCAGGTAGGTTCCTTCTAGTTTTAATCCTGGAATATTCACTTTTTCACAATTGGCCTAAATGAGCTCCCAAATGTCCGTTCACAGAATGGACAAAAACAGTGTTTCCAAGCTGTTAAATCCAAAGAAAGGTTTACTCTCTGAGATGAATGCACAAATCCCAAACCAGTTGCTCAGAAAGCTTCTTTCTAGTTTTTATCTGATGATACTTCCTTTTTCACCATGGGCCTTAAAGCACTGCCAAGTATCCCTTCAATATTCTACAAAAACAGTGTTTCCAAATTGCTAAATGAAAAAAGAGGTTTACCTCTGCTAGATGAATGCATACATCACAAAGTGGTTTATCAGACAATTCCTCCTAGTTTTTATCCTGGCATATTCACTTTTTCAACATTGGCCCCAACGAGTACCCAAAAGTCCATTTGTAGAATGTGCAAAAACAGTATATGCAAACTGCTGATTCCACAGAAACGTTTATCTCTCTGAGATTAATGCACACATTACAAAACAGTTCTCAGAAAGCTTCTTACTATGTTTTTTCTGAAGATAATTACTTTTTCACCATTGGCCTCAATACACATCATGAAGAAAGTTCTCAGAAAGCTTCTTTATACTTTTTATCTGAACCTATTGCCTTATTCACCATAGGCCTCAATGTACTCCCAAATATCCCTTCACAGATTCTATCTAACAGTTTTTCCAAACTGCTGAAAGAAAAGATAGGTTTATCTCGGTGAGATGAATGCACTCATCACAAATCGGTTTCTGAGATAGCTTTCTTCTAGTTTTTATCATGGGATAGTCACTTTTTCACTTTTGGCCTCAATGTGGTCCCAAATGTCCATTTGCTGAATGGACAAAAACAGTGCATCCAAACTGCTGAATCTAAAGAAATGTTTAACTCTGTCAGATGAATGCACACATCACAAAGCAGTTTCTCAGGAAGCTTCTTTCTAGTTATTATCTGAAGTTATTTCCTTTTTCACCATAGGCCTCAAGGTGTTCCCGAATGTCCCTTTGCAGTTTCTACTAAACAATGTTTCGAAACTGCTGAATGAAAAGTAAGTTTGAACTCTGTGAGAGTTACAAATGCTACACAAAGCATTTTCTCAGACAGCTCTTTTGCCGTTGGAATCAATAAGTTCCAAAATGTCCATTAGCAGGAGGAGAAAAAGTTTTTCCAAACTGCTGAATCAAAAAACAGGGTTTAATTCTGTTAGATGAATGAGCACATCACAAAGCAGTTTGTCAGAAATCTTTTTAGTTTTTTTCTTTTATTTTTTATTATTTATTTATTTATTTATTTTTTAAATTTTATTATTATTATACTTTAAGTTTTAGTGTACATGTGCACCACATACAGGTTTGTTACATATGTATACATGTGCCATGTTGGTGTGCTGCACCCATTAACTAGTCATTTAGCATTTGGTATATCTCCTAATGCTATCCCTCCCCCCTCCCCCAATCCCACAACGGTAACTGGTGTGTGATGTTCACCTTCCTGTGTCCACGTGTTCTCATTGTTCCATTCCCACCTATGAGTGAGAACACGCAGTGTTTGATTTTTTTGTCCTTGCAATAGTTTGCTGAGAATGGTGGTTTCCAGCTTCATCCATGTCCCTGCAAAGGACATGAACTCATCATTTTTTATGTCTGCATAGTATTCCATGCTGTGTATGTGCCAGTCTATCGTTTTGTTAATCCAGTCTATCATTGTTGGACATTCGGGTTGGTTCCAAGTCTTTGCTATTGTGAATAGTGCCACTATAAACATACATGTGCATGTGTCTTTATAGCAGCAAGATTTATCATCCTTTGGGTATATACCCAATAATGGGATGGCTGGGTCAAATGGTATTTCCAGTTCTAGATCCCTGAGGAATCGCCACACTGACTTTCTTTTTAGTTTTTATCTGAAGATATTTCCTTTTTCATAATAGGCCTCAAAGAGCTCTCAAATATCCCTTTGCAGATTTCATAAAAACAGTGTTTCCAAACTGCCGAATGAAAAGAAAACTTTAACTCTGCAAGATGAATGCAGTTATCACAAAGCAGTTTCTCATATATCTTCCTTTTAGTTTTTATCCTGGGATATTTGCTTCTTCATCATTGGCCTCAATGAGCTCCAAATTGTCCATTCAAAGAATGGATAAAAACAGTGTTTTCAAAATGCTGAATCCAAAGAAATGTTTAGCTCTGGGAGATGAATGCACAAATCACAAAGCAGTTTCTCTGAAAGCTTCTTTCTAGCTTTTATCTGAATATATTTCCTTTACTACCATAGAAGTCAATGTGCTCCCAAATATCCACTTGAGATTCTACAAAAAAAGTCTCCAAACTGACAAATGAAAAGAAATTATTATCTCTATGAGATGAATGCACACATCACAAAGTAGTTTCTTAAATAGCTTTCTACCAGTTTTTATCATGGGCTATTTGCTTTTTTGTCATTTGACTCAATGAGCTCCAAAATGTTCATTCACAAAAGGACAACAGCAGTGTTTCCAAACTGCTGAATCCAAAGAGAGTTTTACCTCTGTGAGATGAATGCAGACATCACAAAGCAGTTTTTCAAAAGCTTCTTCCTAGTTTTTATCTGAAGATGTTTCCTTTTTCAACATAGACCTCAAAGTGCTCCCAAATATCCCTTTGCAGATTCTACCAAAACTGTGTTTCTGATGTGCTGAAAAACAACAAATGTGTAACTCTTTGAGATGAATGCACACATCCCAAAGCAGTTTCTCTGACAGTTTTCATCAAGTTTTTGTCCGGGGATATTTGCTTTTTCACCCTTGGCCTCAATCAACTCCCCAGTATCCCTTCACAGATTCTACAAAAACAGTGTGTCCCAACTGCTGAAAACAAAAAAAGTTTTAACTCTCAAAGACGAATGCACCGTCACAAAGCAGTTTCCCAAATGCTTCTCTGTAGTTTTTATCAGAAGTCATTTCCTTTTTCACCACAGGTGTCAATTCACTCCCAAATATCCCTTTGCAGATTCTACCAAACCAATGTTTCCAAATGCTGAATCAAGAGGAAGATTTGACTCTGTGAGATGAATGCACACATCACAAAGCTGTTTCTCAGATAGCTTCCTTCTAGTTTTTATCCTGGGATATTCACTTTTTTGCCTATGGCCTCAATGAGCTGTCAAATATCCCTTCACATATTCTAGAAAAACAGTGTTTCCAAACTGCTGAATCAAGCAAAAGCTTTATCTCTGTGAGATGAATGCACACATCTCAACGCAGTTTCTAGGAAACCTTCTTTCTAGTTTTCATCTGAAGTTATTTCCTTTTGCACCATAAGCCTCAATGTGCTCCCAAATATGCCTTCACACATTCTACCAAAACAGTGGTTCTAAACTGCTGAATGAAAAGAAAGGTTTAACTGTGTGAGATGAATGCACACATCACACAGTGGTTTCTCAGATAGTTTCCCTCTAGGTTTTATCCTAGGATATTCGTTTTTTTACCATAGGCTTCAAGGAATTCCCAAATGTCTATTCACAGAATGGACAATAACAGTGTTTCCAACCTACTGAATCTGAAGACATGATTAACACCATGAGATGAATGCACACATCACAAAGCAGTTCCTCAGGAAGCTTCTTTGTAATTTTAACTGAATATATTTCTCTATATGCATTTATCTCACAGAGCTAAATGAGTTCCCAAGTATCCCTTCACAGATTCTACAAAACAGTGTTTCCAATCAGTTGAATGAAAAGAAAGGTTTAACTCTCCGACATGAATGCACACATCACAGCAGTTTCTCAGATAACTTCCTTCTAGTTTCTTTCCTGAGATATTCCCTTTTTTGCCTGGGGCCTCCATGAACTTTCAAATATCCCTTCACAGATTCTACAAACACAGTGTTTCCAAAATGCTGAATCCAAAGAATGGTTTAACTCTGTGAGATGAATGTACATATCACAAAGGAGTCTCACAGAAAGCTTCTTTCTGGATTTTATCTGAAGAGATTTCCATTTTCACCATGGGCCACAATGCACTCCCAAATATACTTTCACAGATTCTACAAAACCAATGTTGCCAAACTGATGAATTAAAAAGAGGTTTAACACTGTGTGATGAATGCACACATCAGAAAGTGGTTTCTCAGATAGCTTCCTTCTAGTTTTTATCCTGGGATTTTCACTTTTTTGCCTTTGGCCTCAATGCGCTCCCAGATGTCCATTCGCAGAATGGACATAAACAGTGTTTCCAAACTGCTGAATCTACAGGAATGTTTAACTCTGTGAGATGAATGCACACATCACAAAGCAGTTTCTCAGAAAGCTTCTTTCTAGTTTTTATCTGAAGATATTTACTTTTACACCATAAGCCTCAATGTGCTCCAAACTATCCCTTCACAGATTCTATCGAACAGTGTTTCCAAACTGCTGAGTGAAAATAAAGGTGTAAGTATGCACGGTGAATGCACACATCACAAAGCGTTCTCTCAGATAGATTCCTTACAGTTTTTATCCTGGGATATTCGCTTTGTCGCCATTGGCCTCAATGAGCTATCTAATATCCCTTCGCAGATTCTACAAACACATTGTTCCCACACTGCTGAATCCAAATAAAAGTTTTACTCAGTGAGATAAATGCACACATTGCAAAGCAGTTTATCAGAAAGATTATTTCTAGATTTTTTCTGAAGACATTTCCGTTTTCACCATAGGCCTCAATGCGCTCCCATATATCCTTTCACAGATGCTACAAAAACAGTATTGCCAAACCAATGAATGAAAAGAAAGGTTTACCTGTGAGATGAATGCACACATCACAAAGCATTTGCAGAGATAGCTTTCTTATAGTTTTTATCCTGGGATATTCGTTTTTTTGGATTGGCCTCAATGAGCTCCCAAATAAGCATTTGCAGAATGGACAAAAAACAGTATTTCCAAAATGCTGAATAAAAAGAATGGTTTAAATTTGGGAGAGAAATATACACATCACAAAACAGTTTTTCAGAAAGCTTCTTTCCAGTTCTTATCTGACAATATTTCCTTTTTTACCATTGCCCTATTGCACTCCCAAATATCGCTTCACAGATTATACAAAAAAAGTGTTTCCAAACTGCTTAAAGAAAAGAAATGTTTAACTCTGCGAGTTGAAAGCACACATCACAAAGCAGTTTCTCAGATAGCCTCCTTCTAGTTTTTATCCTAAGATATGCATTTTTTCACCACAGGCCTCAAGGAGTTCCCAAACGTCCATTTGCAGAATGGACAAAAGCAGTGTTTCCAAACTGCTAAAACCAAAGAAAAGATTAACTCTGTGAGATGAATGCACACATCACAAAACAATTTCTGAGAAAGATTCTTTCTAGTTTTTATTTGAAGACATTTCCTTTTACACTATAGGCCTCACTGCACTTCCAAATATCCCTTCACATATTATATTAAAACAGTGTTTCCAAACTGCTGAATAAAGAAAGGCTTAATTCCGTGAGATGAATTCACTTATCCCAAAGTGGTTTCTCTGATAGCTTCTTTCTAGTTTTTATCCTGGGATATTTGCTTTTTCACCTTTGGCCTTAATGCTTTCCCAAATACCCCCTCACAGATTCTACAAAAAGTGTTTCCAAACTGCTGAATGAAAAGAAAGTTTAGAACTGCGAGTTGAATGGAAACATGAGAAAACAGATTGTCAGATAGCTACCTTCCATTTCTTATCCTGGGATGTTTGCTTTTTTGCCTTTGACCTCAATGAGCTCCCAAATATTCCTTCGCAGATTCTACAAAAACAGTGATTCCAAACTGCTGAATCCAAAGAAAGGTTTAATTCTATGAGATGAATGCACACATCACAAAGCAGTTTTATTCTTTTTTTAAATTTTATTATTATTATACTTTAAGGTTTAGGGTACATGTGCACAACATGCAGGTTTGTTACATATGTATACATGGGCCATATTGGTGTGTTCATCATTTAACATTAGGTATATCTCCTAATGCCCTCCCTCCCCCCTCCCCCAACCCCACAACAGTCCCCAGTGTGTGATGTTCTCCTTCCTGTGTGTATGTGTTCTCATTGTTCAATTCCCACCTATGAGTGAGAACATGTGTTGTTTGCTTTTTGTCCTTGTGATATTTTGCTGAGAATGATGGTTTCCAGCTTCATCCATGTCCCTAAAAAGGACATGAACTCATGATTTTTTATGGATGCATAGTATCCATGGTGTTTATGTGCCACATTTTCTTAATCCAGTCTATCGTTGTTGGACATTTAGGTTGGTTCCAAGTCTTTGCTATTGTGAATAATACCACTATAAACATACGTATGCATGTTTCTTTATAGCAGCATGATTTATAATCCTTTGGATATATACCCAGTAATGGGATGGCCGGGTCAAATGGTATTTCAATTTCCCTGAGGAATTGCGACACTGATTTCCACAATTGTTGAACTAGTTTACAGTCCCACCAACAGTGTAAAAGTGTTCCTATTTCTCCACATCCTTTCCAGCACCTGTTGTTTCCTGACTATTTAATGATCGCCATTTTAACTGGCGTGAGATGGTATCTCATTGTGGTTTTGATTTGCATTTCTCTGATGGCCAGTGATGATGAGCATTTTTTCATGTGTTTTTTGGCTGCATAAATGTCTTCTCTCGAGAAGTGTCTGTTCATATCTTTCACCCACTTTTTGATGCGGTTGTTTGTTTTCTCTTGTAAATTTGTTTGAGTTCATTGTAGATTCTGGATATTAGCCCTTTGTCAGATGAGTAGGTTGCAAAAATTTTCTCCCATTCTGTAGAAACTGGAAACATTTCCGTTGAAAACTGGCACAAGACAGGATGCCCTCTCTCACCACTCCTATTCAACACAGTGTTGGAAGTTTTGGTCAGGGCAGTCAGGTAGGAGAAGGAAATAAAGGGTATTCAATTAGGAAAATAGGAAGTCAAATTGTCCTTGTTTACAGATGACGTGATTGTATATCTAGAAAACCCCATTGTCTCAGCCCATAATCTCCTTAAGCTGATAAGCAACTTTAGCAAAGTCTCAGGATACAAAATCAATGTGCAAATATCACAACCATTCTTATACACCAATAACAGACAAACACAGAGCCAAATCATAAGTGAACTCCCATTCACAATTGCGACAAAGAGAATAAAATACCTAGGAATCCAACTTACAAGGGATGTGAAGGACCTCCTCAAAGAGAACTACAAACCACTGCTCAATGAAATAAAAGAGGATACAAACAAATGGAAGAACATTCCATGCTCATGGATAGGAAGAATCAATATAGTGAAAATGGCCATACTGCCCAAGGACATTTATAGAGTCAATGCCATCCCCTTCAAGCTAACAATGACTTTCTTCACAGAATTGGAAAAAACTACTTTAAAGTTCATATGGAACCAAAAAAGTGCCCACATTGCCAAGTCATTCCTAAGTCAAAAGAACAAAGCTGGAGGCATCATGCTACCTGACTTCAAACTATACTACAAGGCTACAGTAACCAAAACAGCATGGTACTGGTACTAAAACAGAGATATAGAAAAATGGAACAGAAGAGAGCCCTCAGAAATAATGCCAAGTATCTACAACTATCTGATCTTTGACAAACCTGAGAAAAACAAGCAATGGGGAAAGGATTCCCTATTTAATAAATATTGCTGGGAAAACTGGCTAGCCATATGTAGAAAGCTGAAACTGGATCCCTTCCTTACACCTTATACAAAAATTAATTCAAGATGCATTAAAAACTTACATGTTAAACCTAAAACCATAAAAACCCTAGAAGAAAACCTAGGCAATACCATTCAGGACATAGGCGTGGGCAAGGACTTCATGTCTAAAACACCAAAAGCCATGGCAACAAAAGGCAAAATTGACAAATGAGATCTAATTAAACGAAAGAGCTTCTGCACAGCAAAGGAAACTACCATCGGAGTGAACAGGCAACCCACAAAGCAGTTTCATAGAAAGCTTCTTTCTAGTTTTTATCTGAGGATATTTCCTGTGCACCCTAATAGCCCTTTGCAGATTTTACCAAAACATTTTTTCCAAACTGTTCAATGAAAAGAAAGGTTTAACTATGCTAGATGAATCCACAGATCACAAAGCTGTTGCTCAGATAGCTTTCATCTAGTTTTTATCCACTGATATTTGCTTTTTTGCCATTGGCCTAAATGTGCTCAAATTATCCCTTCACAGATTCTACCAATACAGTGTTTCCAAATGCTGAATTAAAGAAAACTTTTAACTCTGAGAGGTGAATACACATATCACAACGTGGTGTCTCAGATTGCATCCATCTAGTTTTTATCCTGGGATATTTGCTTTTTCACCATTGGCTTCAATGAGCTCCCAAATATCCCTCTGCAGACTCTAAGAAAACAGTGTTTCCTAACTGCTGAATACGAAGAAAGGTTTAACCTTGTGATATGAATGCACCCATCACAAAGCAGTTTCACAGAAAGCTTCTTTCCAGTATTTATCTGAAGATATTTCTTTTTTCTGCTTAGGCCTCAATGCAGTCCCAAATATCCTTTAGCAGATTCTACGAAAACGTGTTTCCAAACTGCTGAATGGAAAGAAAGGTTTAACTCTGTGATATGGATGCACACAACAAGAAGCAGTTTCTCAGAAAGCTTCTTTCTAGTTTTTTTTTTTTTTTTTTGAAGTTTTTTTTTCACCATAGGCCTCAAAGCTCTCCAAATATCCTTTCACTGGTCCTACAAAAACATTGTTTCCAAACTGCTGAATGAAAAGAAAGTTTTCAATCTGCAAGATGAATGGACACATCACAAAGTGATTTCTCAGATAGTTTCCTTCTAGTTTTTATTGTGGGATATTCTCTTTTTTGCCTCTGATATCAATGAGCTTCAAACATCCCTTCTCAGATTCTACAGAAAGAGAGTTTCCAAACTTTAAAATGAAAAGAAAGGTTTAAATCTGCTAAATGAAGGCACACCTCACAAAGCAGTTTCTCAGATAGCGTCCTTCTAGTTTTTATCCTATGATATTCACTTTTTTGACTTTGGCCTCAATGAGTTACAAAATCTCCTTTGCCCAAATAGACAAAAACCATATTGCCAAATTGTTGAATCCAAAGAAGGGTTTAAGTAAGTCTGCAAGATGAATGCAGACATCACAAATCCATTTCTCAGATAGTTCCCTTCTAGTTTTTATCTTGGCATATTTGCTTTTTAACCATTGGCATCAATGACCTCCTAAATGTCCATTCCCAGAATGGACAAAAACAGTGTTTGCAAATTTCTGAATACAAAGAAAGGTTTAACTCTGTGAGATGAATGCACACATGACTAAGTAGTTTCACCGATAGCTTCCTTCCAGTTTTTATTCTGGGATATTCACTTTTTTGCCATTGGCCTCAATGAGCTCCAAAATGCCCATTCACAGAATGGAGAAAAACAGTGTTTCCAAGCTGCTGAATACAAAGGAAGGTTTAACTCTGTGAGATGAATGCACACATCACAAAACAGTTTCTCAGAAACCTTCTTTCTAGTTTTTTTCTGATGATATTTCCTTTTTCACCATAGGCCTCAAAACACTCCCAAATATCCCTTTGCAGATTCTACCAAAACAGTGCCTCCAAACTGCTGAATGAAAAGAAAGTTTTAACTCTGTGAGATGAATGTGCACCACATGATTCAGTTTCTCAGAAAGCTTCTTTCTAGTTTTTATCTGAAGATATTTCCTTTTTCACCACAGGCCTCGATGCATTCCAAAATATCCTTTCACAGATTCTACAAAAACAGTGGTTCCAAACTGTTGAATGAAAAGAAAGGTTTAACTCTTCAAGATGAATGCACACATTATAAAGTCATTTCTCAGATAGCTTCCTTCTAGTTTTTATCTAGGGCTATTTCCTTTTTCACCTTTGGCCTCCATGAAGTATCATATATCCCTTCACTAATTCTACAAAACTAGTGTTTCCAAACTGCTGAATGCAAAGAAAGGTTTAACCCTGTGAGACAAATGCACACACGACAAAGCAATTTCTCAGAAAGCTTCCTTCTAGTTTTTATCTGAAATTATTTCCTTTTTCATCATTGGCCTCTATTCTCTCCCAAATATCCCTTCCTAGATTGTACCAAAAAAAGTGTTTCAAAATTGCTGAATCCACAGGAAGTTTAACTCTGCAAGATGAATGCACACAACAGAAAGTGGTTTCTCACATAGCTTCCTGCTGGTTTTTATACTGAGATATTCGTGTTTTTGCCTTTGGTCTCAATGAGTTCCCAAATATCCCTTCGCATATTCTACAAAAACTGCAGTTTCCAAACTGCGGAATCCAAAGAAATGTTTACCTCTGTGAGATGAATGCACACATTTTCTCAGAAAGCTTCTTTGTAGTTTTCACCTGCTGATATTTCCTTTTTCACCATAGGCCTCAATGGACTCCCACATATCCTTTCACAGATTCTACTAAAACAGTGTTTAAATCTGCTGAAAGAAAAGAAGGTTTAACTCTGTGATATGAATGTATGCATCAAAAAGTGGTTTCTAAGATAGCTTCCTTCCAGTTTTTATCCTTTGATATTTTCTTTTTTGCCTATGGCCTCAATGGGCTATCAAATATCCCATTGCAGATTCTACAAAAATTGTTTCTCCAAAATGCTGAATCCAAAGCAATGTTTAATTCTGTGAGATGAATGCACACATCACAAAACAGTGTCTCAGAAAGCTTATTTCTAGTTTTTATCTGAAGATATTTCCTTTTACACCACAGGCCTCAATGTGCTTCCAAATATCCCTTCACAGTTTCTAGCAAAACAGCATTTCCAAACTGCTGGATTAAAAGAAAGGGTTAACTCTGCAAGACTAATGTACACATCACAAAGCCATTTCACAGATAGCTTCTTGCTTGTTTTTATCCTAGTATATTCTCTTTTTCGCCATTGGCGTCAAGGACTTCCCAAATGTCCATTCACTGAATGGGCAAAAAAAGTGTTTCCAAATGGCTTAATCCAAAGAAAGGTTTACTTTGTTAGAAAAATGTGAACATCACATAACAGATTCTCAGATAGTTTCCTTCTGGTTTGTATCCTGGGATATTCGCTTTTTTGCCATTGCATCAAAGTGCTCCCAAATGCCCATTCACAGATGGACAAAAACAGTGTTTTCAAATTACTGAATGAAAAGAAAGCTTTAGCTCTGTTACATGAATGCACACATCACAAAGTAGTTTCTCAGAGAGCTTCCTTCTAGTTTTTATACTGGAATATTCTTATTTTCACCTTTGGTCTCAATCAGCTCCCAAATGTCCCTTTGCAGATTATACAAAAACAGTGTTTACAAATTGCTGAATCCAAAGAATGGTTTAACTCTGTGAGATGAATACACACATCATAAAGCAGTTTCTCAGAAATCTTCTTTCTAGTTTTTATCTAAAGATATTTTCTTTTTCACCACAGGCCTCAATGTGCTCCCAAATATCCCTTTGCAGATTCTACCAAAACAGTGTTTCCAGACTGGTGTATGAAAAGAAAGTTTTATGTATGTGTGGTGAATGCACACATCACAAAGCAGTTTCTCAGAAAGCTTCTTTCTAGTTTTTATCTGAAGATATTTCATTTTTCACCCCAGGCCCCAGTGCACTCCCAAATATCCTTTTGCAGATGCTACAAAAGCAGTGGTTCCAAAGTAGTGAATGAAAAGAAAGGTTTAACTCTGAGAGATGAATGCAAACATCATGAAGTGGTTTCTCAGATAGCTTCCTTCTAGGTTTTCTCTTAGATACTCACCTTTTTGCCTATGGCCTCAATGAGCTCCAAATAACCCTTTGCAGATTCTACAAACACAGTGTTTCCAAACTGCTGAATCCAATAAAGGTTTAACTCTGTGAGACGAATGCACACATCACAAAGCAATTTCTCGGAAAATTTCTTTCTAGCTTTTCTCTGAAGATATTTCTTTTTTTTTTTTTTTTTGCCTAGGCATCAATGTGGTCCCAAATATTTCTTCATAGATTCTACAAAAACTGTGTTTCCACACTGCTGAATGAAAAGAAAGGTTTAACTCATGCAGTTGAATGCACACTTCACAAAACTGTTTGACACATAGCTTCCTTCTAGGTTTTATCCTGGGATAGTTGCTTTTTCTCCTTTGGCCTCAATGAGCTGTCAAATATCCCTTCACAAATTTTACAAAAACAGTGTTTCCAAACTGCGCAATCCAAAGAAAGGTTCAACTCTTTGAGATGAATGCACACAACACAAATCAGTTTCTCAGAATGCTTCTTTCTAGTTTATCTGAAGATATTTTCTTTTTCACCATAGGCCTCAAATCTCTCCCAGATTCTACAAAAACAGTGTTCCCAAACTACTGAACGAAAAGAGTGGTTTAAATCTGCATGATGAATGCACACATCACAAAGCGATTTCTCAGATAGTTTCCTTCTAATTTTTATCCAGGGATATTCTCATTTTTGCCTATGGCATCAATGAGCTCCAAATATCCTTTTGCAGATTATACATAAACAGTGTTTCCAAACTGCTGAATGAAAACAAATGTTTAACTGTGAGATGAATGCACACTTCACAAAGCAGTTTCTCAGATAGATTTCTTCTATTTTTTATCATGCAATATTCACTTTTTCACCTTTGGCCTCAATGAGCTCCCAACTGGCCTTTTGCAGAATGGACTAAAACAGTTTTTTGAAACTACAGCATCCAAAGAAAGGTTTTACTCCGTGTGATGAATGGACACATCACAAAGCATTTTCTCCAAAAGCTTATTTCTAGTTTTTATTTGAAGGTATTTCGTTTTTACCATAGGCCTCAATGTGCTCCCAAATCTCTCTTTGCAGTTTCTACAGAACAGTGTTTCCAAACTACTGAACGAAAACAAACATTTATCTCTGTGAGATGAATGCACACATCACAAAGTGGTTTCTCACTTTGCATCCTTCTAGTTGTTATACTGGGATATTCATGTTTTTGCCTTTGCTCTCAATGAGCTCCAAAATATCCCTTTGCATATTCTATAAAAACAGTGTTTCCAAACTGTAGAATCAAAAGAAAGGTTTACCTGTGTGAGATGAATGCACACATTTTCTCAGAAAGCTTCTTTCTAGTTTTTACCTGCAGACATTTCCTTTTTCACTAGTCCTGAATGGACTGCCACATATACTTTCACATATTTTACAAAAACAGGTGTTTAAAACTACTGAATGAAAGGAAAGGTTTAAATGTCTGAGAAGATTGTACACATTAAAAGCAGTTTCTCAAATAGCTTCCTTTTAGTTTTTATCATTTGATATTTACTTTTTCACATAAGGCCTCAATTTGCTATCAAATATCCCACTGCAGTTTCTATAAAAACAGGTTTTCCAAACCGCTGAATTGAAAGCAAGTTTAACTCTGTGAGATGAATGCACACATCACCAAGCAGTTTCTCATAAAACTTCTTTCAAGTTTTTATCTGAACATATTTTCTTTTTCACCATAGGCCTCGATGCACTGCTAAATATCCCTTCACAGTTTTTACCGAAACAGTGCTTCCAAACTGCTGAAAAAAGAAAAGTTTAACTCTGCGAGATGAATGCACACATCACAAAGCCATTTCACAGATAATTTCCCTATAGTTTTTATCCTGGGATATTCACTTTTTCACCATTGGCATCAATGACCTCCTAAATGTCCATTTGCAGAATGGTCAAAAACAGTGTTTCCAAACTGATGAATCCAAAGAAAGGTTTAACTTTGTGATATGAATGTGAACATCACAAAGCGGATTCTCAGATAGACTCCTTGTAGTTTTTATCTTGGATATTTGCCATTGCATCAATGAGCTCCCAAATGTCCATTTGCAGATGGACAAAAACACTGTTTCCAAACTACTAAACGAAAAGAAAGGATTAACTCTGTGACATGAAGGCACACATCACAAAGCTGTTCCTCAGATAACTTCCTTCTAGCTTTCATCTTGGGTTATTCACGTTTTCACCTTTATTCTCAATCAGCTTCCGAATATCCCTTTACAGATTCTACAAAACAGTGTTTCCAAACTGCTGAATCCAAAGAATGCTTTAACTCTGTGAGATGAATGTACACATCACAAGGCAGTTTCTCTGAAAGCTTCTTTCTAGTTTTTATCTGAATATATTTCCTTTTTCACCATAGTCCTCAATGTGCTACAAAATGTCCTTTTCCAGATACTACAAAAAGAGTGGTACCAAACAGCTGGTTGAAAACTACGTTTTAACTCTGTGAAATGAATGCACACATCACAAAGCAGTTTCTCAGATAGCTTCCTTCCAGATTTTCTCCTGGGATACTCGCTTTTTCGCCTATGTCTTCAATGAGCTCCAAATATCCCTTCTCAGATTCTACAAAAAGAGGGTTTCCAAACTGCTGAATGAAAAACAAATGTTTAACTGTGCAAGATGAATGCACACATCACAAAGCGGTTTCTCAGATAGTTTCATTCTAGTTTTCAACCTGGGATATTCGTTTTTTCACCTTCAGCCTCAATGGGTTTCCAAATACCCCACAGCAGATTCTACAAAAACAGTGTTTCCAAACTGCTGAATCCAAAGAAAGATTTATCTGTGTGAGATGAATGCACACACCACGAAGCATTTTCTCAGAAAGCTTCTTTGTAGTTTTTACCTGAAGATATTTCCTTTTTCACCATAGGCCTAAATATGCTCCCAAATAACCCTTCACAGTTTCTACCAAAACAGTGTTTTCAAACTGCTGAATGAAAAGAAATGTTTAACTCTCTAAGATGAAAGCACACATCACAAAGCAGTTTCTCATATAGCTTCCTTCTGGTTTTTATCCTGGGATATTTGCTTTTTTCACCTTTGGCCTCAATGAACTCCAAATACCCCTTAACAGATTATACAAAAACAGTGTTTCAGAACTGCTGAATCCAAAGAAAGTTTTAACTCTGTGAGATGAATGCAAACATCACAAAGCAGCTGCTCAGAAAGCTTCTTTCTATTTTTATCTGAAGATACTTCCTTTTTCACCATAGACCTCAGTGTGCTCCAAAATATCCCTTCACAGATTCTACAAAGACAATATATTCAATCTGCTAAATCCAAAGAAAAGTTTAACTCTGTGAGATGAATGCACACATCACTAAGCTGTTTCTCATATAGCTTCCTTCTAGTTTTTATCCTGCGATATTCACTTTTTTGCATTTGGCCAGAATGAGCTCCAAATATCCCTTCACAGATTCGACAAAAACTATGTTTCCAAAGTGCTGAATCCTGAGTATGGCTTAACTCTGTGAGTTGAATGTACACATCAGAAAGCAGTTTCTCAGAAAGCTTCTTTCTAGTTTTTATCTGAAGATATTTCCTTTTTCAACATAACCTCATTGTGTTCCCAATTATCTATCTGAAGATTTTACCAAAACAGTGTTTCCAAACTGCTCAATGAAAAGAAACGTTTAACTCTGTGTGATGAATGTCCACATCAAAAAGTGGTTTCTCAGAATTCTTCTTTCTAGTTTTTATCTTGTGATATTCTCTTTTTTTGCCTTTGGCCTCAATGAGCTACAAATATCCTTTTGCAGATTCTCCAAAAACAGTGCTTCCAAACTGCTGAATCCAAAGAAAATTTTAATGCTGTGAGGTGAATGCACACATCACAAAGCAGTTCCTCAGAGAGCTTCTTTCTAGTTATTCTCTGAAGATGTTTTCTTTTGCAAAATAGGCCTCAATGTGCTCCCAAAAATCTTTTCATAGATTCTACATAAAAAGTGCTTCCAAAGTGCTGAATGAAAAGAAAATTTTAAGTCTGTGAGCTGAATGCACACATCACCAAGCAGTTTCTTAGACAGCTTCCTTCTACTTTTTATCCTTGGATATTTGCTTTTTCACCATTGGCCTCAATGAACTCCCAAATGTTGATTTGCTGAATGGACAAAAAGAGTATTTTGAAACTGCTGAATCCAAAGAAACGTTTAACTCTGTGAGATAAGTGCACACATCACAAAGTAGTTTCTCAGAAAGTTTTCTTCTAGTTTTTATCTGAAGACATTTCCTTTTTCACTGTAGGCCTCAATTCACTCTCAAATATGCATTCACAGATTCTACAAAAACAGTTTTTTCCAAACTGCTGAATGAAGGAAAAGCTTAACTCTGTGAGATGAATGCACACATCACAAAGCAATTACTCAGATAGCTTCCTTCTATTTTTTCTTCTAGGATATTCACTTTTTCGCCAATTGACTCAATGAGCTCCCAAGTTTCCATTCGCAGAATGGACAAAACCAGTGTTTCCAAACTGCAAAATCTAAAGAATGGTGTAACTGTGAGATGAATGCACACATCACAAAGAATTTTGTCAGAAAGCTTCTTTCTACTTTTTATCTGAAGATGTTTTCTTTTTCACCATAGGCCTCAATGAATTCCCAAATATCCCTTTGCAATGTCTACAAAAACAATGTTTCCAAACTGTTGAATGAAAAGAAAGATGTAAGTCTGTGAGATAAATCTACACATCACAAACTGGTTTCTCAGAGAGCTTCCTTCTCCTTTTTATCTTGGTATATTCACTTTTTTGCCATTGGCCTCAATGAGCTCCCTAGTGTCCACTCGCAGAATAGACAAAATAGTGTTACAAAGCTGCTGAATCAAAAGAAAGTTTTATCTCTGTGAGATGAATGCACATGTCAGAAAGCAGTTTCTCACAAAACTTCTTTCTGGGACTTATCTGAAGACAATTTTTTCAAACTAGGCCTCAATGCACTTCCAAGTGTCCTTTTACTGATTCTACAAAGACAGTATTTCCAAACTCCTGAAGGAAAAGAAAGATTTAACTCTGTGAGATGAATGCACAGCTCACAAAATGGTTTCTCAGAGATGATCCCTAAAGTTTTTATCCTGGGATATTCACTTTTTCACCATTTGTGTCAATGAGGTCCCAAATATCCATTCACAGATTGGAGAAAAACAGTGTCTCCAAACTGCAGAATCCAAAGAAAGTTTTAGCTGTGAGAGAAATGCGCACATCACAAAACAGTTCCTCAGAAAGCTTCTTTCTCATGTTTATCTTAAGATATTTTCTTCACCACAGGCATTAAGGCCCTCCCAAAGGTCCCTTCACAGATCTACAAAAACAGTATTTCCAAACTAATGAATGAAAAGAAAGATTTAACTCTGTGAGATGAATGCAGGTATCACACAGCAGTTTCTCAGGACCTTCCTTCTAGATTTTGCCCTGGTATATTTTCTTTTTCACAATTGACCTCTATGAGCAAAAAAATATACTTTTGCAGAAGAGACAAAATAATGTTTTCAAACTGCTGAATTCAAAAAATATTTGACTCTGTAAGATATGTGCACACATCACAAATCCATTTCTCTGAAAGCTTCTTTCTACTTTTTATCTGAAGATTTTTCTTTTTTCACCATAGGCCTTAATGTGCTGCCAAATATCCTTTCACAGTTTCTACAAAAACAGTGTTTCCAAACTGCTGAATGAAAAGAAAGTTTTAACTCTGCTGGGAGAAAACACACATCACTAAGCGATTTCTCAGATAGCTGCCTTCTAGTTTTAATCCTGGGACTTTCTCTTTTTTGCCCTTGGCTTCTATGATCTCCCAAACATCCATTCACAGAATGGACAAAAGCAGTGTGACCAAACTGCTGAATCCAAAGAAAAGCTTAACTGTGTTGGATGAATGAACACATTACAAAGCAGTTTCTCAGAAAATTCTTGCTACTTTTTATCTGAAGATATTTCCTTTTTCACCATGGGCCACAATGCGCTACCAAATATCTATTCGCAGATTTTAAGAAAACACTCTTTCCAAACTGTTGAATGAAAAGAAAGGTTTAACTCTGCTAGATGAATGCTCACATGACAGAGAAATTTTTATCCTGGAATATTCACTTTTTCACCTTTGGCCTCAATGTGCTCCCAAATATCATTTTGAAGGTTCTACCAAAACAGTGTTTCCAAACTGCTGAATGAAAAGAAAGTTTTAACTCTGTGAGATAAATGCACACATCACCAAGTGGTTTCTCAGATAGCTTCCTTCTAGTTTTTATCCTGGGATATTCTCTTTTTTGCTGTTGGCCTCAATGTGCCCCATAATGTCAATTCACAGAATGGAGAAAAACAGTGTTTCTAAACTGCTGAATGCAAAAAATGTTTAACTCTGTGAGATGAATGCAGCCATCACAAAGCAGTTTCTCACAAATCTTCTTTCTAGCTTTTATTTGAAGATGTTTTCTTTTTCACCATAGGTCCCAATGTGCTCCCAAATATCCCTTTGCAGATTCTACAAAAACAGTGTTTCCAAACTGATGAATGAAAGACAGGTTTAACTCTGTGAGGTGAATGCATACATCACAAAGTGGTTTCTCAGATTGCTTCGTTCTAGTTTTCATACTGGAATATGTTACGGGAAGTCAGGGACCCCAAACAGAGGGACCGGCTGAAGCCATGGCAGAAGAACATGGATTGTGAAGATTTCATGGACATGTATTAGTTCCCCAAATTAATACTTTTATAATTTCTTAGGCCTGTCTTTACTGCAATCTCTAAACATAAATTGTAAAGATTTCCTGGACACTTATCACTTCCCCAATCAATACCCTTGTGATTTCCTATGCCTGTCTTTATTTTAATCTCTTAATCCTGTCAGCTGAGGAGGATGTGTGTCACTTCGGGACCATGTGATAATCGCGTTAACTGCACAAATTGTACAGCATGTGTGTTTGAGCAATATGAAATCTGGGCACTTTAAAAAAAGAACAGGATAACAGCAGTTGTTCAGGGAATAAGAGAGATAACCTTAAATTCTGACTGCCAGTGAGCTGGGCAGAACAGAGGCATATTTCTCTTCTTTCAAAAGCAAATCGGAGAAATATTGCTGAATTCTTTTTCTCAGCAAGGAATACACCTGAGAAGGAGAATATATGCCTGGAGGTATAGGCTTATAAACAGGCCCAGTGGCGTGCTTGCCTCTTATGGTCAAGACTGCAGAGTTGAAATAGACTCCAGTCTCCCATAGCGCTCCCAGGCTTATTAAGAGCAGGAAATTCCCACCCAACAAATTTTTTAAGACTGGTTGATCTCAAAACCCTGTCTCTTGATAAGATGTTATCAATGACAATGGTGCCCGAAACTTCATTAGCAATTTTAATTTTGCCTCAGTCCTGTGGTCCTGTGATCTTGCCCTGCCTCCACTTGCCTTGTGATATTCTATTACCTTGTAAAGTTCTTGATGTCTGTGACCCACACCTATTCACACACTCCTTCCCCTTTTGAAAATCCCTAATAAAAGCTGGCTGGTTTTTATGGCTTGTGAGGCATCACAGAACCTACCGATATGTGATGTCTCCCCCGGACACCCAGCTTTAAAATTTCTCTCTTTTGTACTCTGTCCCTTTATTTCTCAAGCTGGCCAATGCTTAAGTAAATAGAAAAGAACCTATGTGAATATCAAGGCAGGTTCCCCAATATCTGGAACCCACGTTGTCTTTCTTTTTCCCAAAGTGCATGAGGGAACCCAATTCCCTTTGGTAGGTGCGGTGAAACGTCAATCAGCTTGGTCCACAGATATGCATGTTCAACTCCCTGATGAGTGGTGAATAGTCTGTGTAAGCTCTGGGTTAACTATGGGTCATGTGGAGTCTAAGCATCATGCTTAGCTCTCCTGTATTAAACTCCTCTTAAAACAGGTTACTGTCTGAGTAACCATAGAAAATATGATTGCTCTATTTAGGACAGTGTTGAAATATTGCTCTTGGTTTCCTGAAAAAGGAACTGTGTATATAAAATTGTGTAATTGTGTTGGTAAAGCATCCCAGAAACTGGTCTCAGAAGGGAATTATGTTCCTGTAACTGTTTGGAGTTGCTGGGCTTTGGTATATGCTGTTCTGATGACATAACAATTCCATGACCCCCTACAGTTACCACAGTTTTCTGAATCTGATGATCTTCCACCTTTTCCTCAACCTTCCTCTCCTGCATGGCCTTCATTATCTGATCAGCCTCTCCCTTTGGATACTCCTCCCCCACCTAATGATGCTGAAAATTCAATGTCAAACTCTGGTAACTCTGGCTTAAAATTACCCCCTATTTTCTTACTTCTTTTCATGAAGAGCCAGTACTTGAAACTCCTGCAGCCACGATTCACACAACTCGGTACCATAGATATGCTAATTCTTCTCTCTTCAAACCTACGGCATCAGCTAATGGCTCCAGGACCAAACTACAATTTACCTATCATTCTCCATGCTGTCCCCCATCCACTACAGCCCTTCACCCTCCTGTCTTTTTGGTTCCTCAACTGGTCTGCATTGATATGCGCTGCTCAATCTTACCTTTTTAAAAACAATTTAAGGATGCTAAGGTCCTACTTTTCCTTATGTTCAAATGGTTTTGCAACCTTTTTGTAGCGAGGTCGTTTTGCTCCCTTTAGATTGTGACATTTTGGCAAAAGTTGTTCTAACCCCATCTCAGCATTTACAATTCCATACCTGGTGGTCACAGCAGGCGTGTTTGCAGGCTCAGCTAAATCAGAGTAATGGCATTCTAGTTATTCAAGCTCAGCTCACAAGCTCTGATAGTTTCTCTCATGCTTATGCCCAATTAAACTTTCATACTCTTACCAGAAAACAAGTAACAAAGCTGTGTATGAGACCTTGGGATAAATTACACTCCCCAGGCCAAGCTCCTGTTTCTTTTACTACTGTTAAACAAGCTCAATTTCTTTTACTACCTAATATCATTTTAAACAAAGGAGATAAGACACGTGGCCTTGGGATTCAGCAGTGGCTGCTCTCTAAAGAAAAACTAGAGGCTTTAAATCATTTGGTTTCTGAGCAGTTGCAACTTGGAAATGTGGAAACTTCTCTTTCCCCTTGGAATTCTCCTGTGTTCCTAGTAAAAACGAAATCAGGCAAATGGCACACGGTAACCAATTTAAGGGCCATTAATGCTGTAATTAAACCTATGGGGGACGTCCAAGCTGGCATGCCTGCCCCTGCTTTAATACCTAAAGATTGGCCTTTCATAGTTATTGATCTTAAAGATTTTTTTATATTGCTTTACATAAATTGGATTGTGAAAAATTTGCTTTTACTGTGCCATCTATCAATAATCAGGAGCCTGCAGCTCATTATCAATGGAAAGTATTTCCTCAGGGAATGCTAAATAGCCCTACAATCTGCCAGCTTTATGTTGGACAAGTGCTTTCACCAGTTCGAGCCCAATTTCCCGAGGCCTATATTCTTCATTATATCAATGACATTTTAATAGCTGCCCCCACTGATAAACAATTAAATGAATGTTACCAAATTTTGAGCTGCTGTGTTACAGAGGCTGGAGTACACATCACTCAGGATAAAATTCAACAGACCACTCCTGTTCAATATTTAGGAACGGTGGTCGATAAACAATGTATTCAACCTTTAGGAATGGTGGTCAATAAACAATGTATTCAACCTCAAAAAGTTCAAATTAGCAGAGATTCTTTAAAAACTTTAAGTGACTTCCAAAAACTTTTGGATAACATTAATTATTAAAACCTACTTTAGGCATTCCGACCTATACACTATCTAACTTGTTCTCTATGCTGCGGGGAGATTCTGATCTCCACAGCCCCAGGACTTTGACCCCTGTGGCTTTATGAGAACAGGAATTTGTAGAGGAAAGATTCCAGACCACCCAGTTATCTAGAGTACGGCCATTTCAGCCCCTTCAGCTTCTGGTTTTTGCTTCATTACACTCCCCTATTGGACTAATTGTTCAACATAATGATTTAGTGGAGTGGTGTTTTCTTCCTCATTCTGTGTCAAAAAACTTTGTCTGTTTATCTATGCCAAATAGCCATGTTAATTGGACAGGCTCGGTGCAGAGTACTTCATATTTCTGGACTTGATCCAAATATAATTGTAGTTCCTTTAAATTGGCTTGAAGTTCAAGCTGCCTTTCAACATTCTGTACTGTTGCAAATTCACTTGGCTGATTTTATTGGAGTTATTGACAATCATTATCCAAAAATCAAATTATTTAATTTTATAAAAATAACGTCTTGGGTGGTTCCTCAATTAACCCAAAATCAACCCATTCCTGAGGCCATTACAGTGTTCACTGATGGGTCCAGTAATGGCAATTCTGGCTATATAGGTCCTACAGACAAGCTTATTTCTACCTCTTATACTTCTGCTCAAAAGGTGGAGTAAATTGCTGTGATTACTGCTTTACAGGATTTTCCAAAACCTTTAAATATTGTCTCAGATTCCACTTATGTAGTACATGCCACTAAAAGTATAGAAACTGCTACTATCAAACATATTGATAATTCTGAATTGGCTTCTTTATTTTCAAGGTTACAACAGGTGGTTCACCAACGTAGACAAACTTTCTATAGTACACATATTAGGTCTCATACCACTTTACCAGGACCCATGTCTGCCAGTAACCATAAAGTCGACTGTTTGGTCTCTTTTACAACCCAAGAAGCTCAAGAGTTCCATCATCTTACTCAGGTCAATGCGACTGGATTAAAAGATAAATTTGCTCTTACCTGGAAACAGGTAAGTTTATTGTTCACAGCTGTCCTCAGTGCCAGTTCTTTGTACTTCCAAATCAGGAACCTGGCGTTAATCCTAGAGGCCTAACTCTTAATGCTTTATGGCAAATGGATGTGACTCATGTTAGCTCTTTTGGCAGACTTTCATATTTGCATGACTCTTTAGATACTTTCTCAGGTTTTATCTGGGCTACTTGCCAAACAAGGGAAGGCATAGCTCATGTTAAAAACTACGTGTATTCTTGCTTTGAAGTTATGGGGCTTCCATATCAAATAAAGACAGACAATGCCCCTGGATATGTTAGTAAGGTTTTTGATTCATTTGTGCAACAGTGGGGACTTTCCCATATCACTGGAATCCCTTACAATCCTCAGGGACAGGCTGTGGTGGAACAGGACAATCACAGTTTAAAAACCCAATTGTCCAAACAGTCAGAACAACCAAAACATGATTTAACTACTCCACACTCCCAATTACATTTGGCATTGTTTACCTTAATTTTTTTAAAAAATGTTCCTAAAGATAATTAACTGCAGCCACACGCCATATTACAGGCAAAAAATTCACCTAAAATGAAGGCAAGCCAGTATTATGGAAAAACTCCCAAACAATACCTGGGAACCTGGCACAATTATAACGTGGGGAAGAGGAAATGCTTGTGTTTCACCAGGACGTCATCAATCCCCTGTCTGGGTACCCACCAGAAGACTCAAGCTTTGGGTGAATATTGACAATGAACACCACAATAAAAAACGTCTGTGTCAGAGACTGCCTTCAGACGTGGTGAGATCTGTGCCAACTCCTCAGAGACAGGCACACCAAATCACAATGGGTGTAAATCAGTCCTCCCTGATGGCAATGGAGACCCATCTAACTAATCACACTTCTCCTGATTACCTTTCTTTTTCTCCTTAAAAACCTAAAAATCTCATCATTTCTATTAGCCTGAAAATAACGTCTCTCTGTTCTTCTCTTCTTCCTTCAGCACTAAATCTCACTTACACTAGGTTTAATTTAATGATTCTCCTCCTTATATTTTCTGTCTCACCAGTGTCCTCTCACACTGATTTACCTGCTACACATAATTATTCTTATTGGGCTTATGTGCCTTTTCCTCCGCTTATTCGACCTCTCACCTGGATAGAGGCTGCAGCAGAAATCTCCACTAACAATAGTGTGTGGATACCTGGAACTACAGATAAACGTTGCCCTGCTCAACCAGGAGAACAAGGCATTGCATTTAATGTTACCATGGGTTATAAATACCCCCCTCTGTGCCTCAGACATGCAGCTGGTTGCAACCATCTAGAAACTCAAGTCTGGGCTGCTTAACTTCCAGAAAGTTGAGCTACAGATAAAATGGGACATTTGGTATCTGGCCTCTCTCTTTCTCCTTTAAAACAAATGTAAGGAGGAGTAATGGGAGGTACCCCACACTTTCAATATAAACCTGCAGAAAAACCATGCCCTAAAAATTTTGAGGGCCCATCTAAAATTTTAATTTGGGAAGATTGTGTTAACTCACGTGCAGTAATATTAAAAAATGACTCGTATGGTTTAGTAATAAACTGGGCACCAAAGGGCTATTTAAAAAACCATTGTTCCTCTGGCAGAAGGGAATGTCTGGAGGCTAATTATTTTATTTCTTATCAGGAGAACGCGAATCATCATTCTACTTTGCATAGGAGGTTCAGCTCATTCTTTCCCTTAAAATAGGAAGATAAAGGCATTACCCACCAGGCTTCATATGAAACTCCCCATTCTGAGCCCAGAACACCCAGAACTTTAGAAATTGGCTATTGCCATGTCTAGACTGCGAGTATGGGAAGGGAAAACTATTCTGACTGTTGTTCCCACTACCATCCCACTCTCTCAGTATCAATGTAGACCCAGACATTCTGCTTTACTTACCTCCAACCTGAGTGTTCCCATACAGAGTTGTGTTAAGCCCCCTTACTTGCTGTTAGTAGGAAGTATCAAAATTTGGTTGAATAATCAAACTGTCCAATGCATCAGGTATCATCTATACACTTGCATTAACTCCCATTTTGACTCCAGGAAAAGTGTAATGTTGGTTCAAGCTCTAGAAGGAATCTGGATTCTGGTAACTTTACCTAGATCTTGAGAATCCTCCCTGTCAATACATTTAATTAATGAAGTGTTACAGCGAATTCTTAAAAGATCTAAGAGATTTGTCTTCACTTTAGTTGCTGTTATCATGGACCTAATTACAGTCACTGCAATGGCAACCAATCCCAGAATGGCATTACACCAATCCATTCAAACCACTCATTTTGTTAATGATTGGCAAGCCAATTCCACCCAAATGTGGAATTCTCAACAAGGCACCAATCAAAAATAGGCAAATCAAATTAATGATTTAAGACAGTCTGTTAGTTGGCTTGGAGATTGGGTAGTGAGTCTCGAGTATCACATGCAAATGTAGTGTGATTGGAAAACTTTGGATTTCTGCATCACCCCATATTCCTATAATGAGACTGATCATTCATGGGCAATGGTCAAAAGACACCTTCTAGGTAGAGAAGATAATTTATCATTGGATGTAACTAAATTAAAGTAACAAATTTTTGAAACCTCTCAAGCTCACTTACCCATTGTGCCTGGATCTGAGGCTTTAGATCAGGTGGCAGAAAATCTTTATGGATTAAACCCCACGACTTGGATTAAGTCTATTGGGTGCTCCACTGTAGTAAATTTTGGAAATATGTTTCTCTGTTTAATCAGCTTGCTTTTAGTGTGCTGGACTAGTCAAAGAATCCTGCATCAAAATCAGGAGAATGAACAAGCCTTCATCGCCATGGCACATTTATATAAAAAGAAAGGGAGAGATGTTGTGGGAAGTCAGGGACCCCAAACAGAGGGACCAGCTGAAGCCATGGCAGAAGAACGTGGATTTTGAAGATTTCATGGACATTTATCAGTTCCCCAAATTAATACTTTTATAATTTCTTAGGCCTGTCTTTACTGCAATATCTAAACATAAATTGTAAAGATTTCCTGGACACTTATCACTTCCCCAATCAATAACCTTGCAATTTCCTATGCCTGTCTTTGTATTAATCTCTTAATCCTGTCAGCTGAGGAGGATGTCCGTCACTTCGGGACCATGTGATAATCGCGTTAACTGCACAAATTGTACAGCATGTGTGTTTGAGCAATATGAAGTCTGGGCACCTTAAAAAAGGTACAGGATAACAGCAATTGTTCAGGGAATAAGAGAGATAACCTTAAATTCTGACTGCCAGTGAGCCAGGTGGAACAGAGCCATATCTCTCTTCTTCCAAAAGCAAATGGGAGAAATATCGCTGAATTCTTTTTCCCAGCAAGGAACATCCCTGAGAAGCAGAATACGTGCCTGGAGGTATAGGGTTATAAACAGCCCCCAAGGCATGCCTGCCTCTTATGGTCGAGACTGCAGAGATGAAATAGACTTCAGTCTCCCATAGCACTCCCAGGCTTATTAGGAGGAGGAAATTCCCACCTATTAAATTTTGGTCAGACCGGTTGATTTTAAAACCCTGTCTCCTGATAAGATGTTATCAATGGCAATGGTGCCTGAAACTTCATTAGCAATTTTAATTTCCCCTCGGTCCTGTGGTCCTGTGATCTTGCCCTGCCTCCACTTGCTTTGTGATATATTCTATTACCTTGTAAAGTACTTGATGTCTGTGACCCACACCTATTCGCACACTCCCTCCCCTTTTGAAAATCCCTAAAAAATCTTGCTGGTTTTTGCTGCTTCTGGGACATCAGGGAACCTACTGATATGTGATGTCTCCCCCAGATGCCCAGCTTTAAAATTTCTCTCTTTTGTACTCTGTCCCTTTATTTCTCAAGCTGGCCAATGGTTAAGGAATATAGAAAAGAACTTACATGAATATCAGGACAGGTTCCCCAATAGGGATATTTGCTGTTTTGCCATTGGCCTCAATGAACACAAAAATGTCCATTTGCATAATGGGAAAAATAGTGTATGCAAACTGCTGAACCCAAAGAAAAGTTTAACTTTGTGAGAGGAATGCACACATCACAAAGCTGTTTCTCAGAAACTTCTTTCTTGTTTTTATCTGAAGAAATTTCTTTTTTCGCTGTAGGCCTCAATATGCTCCTAAATATCCCTTTGCAGTTTCCACAAAAACAGTGTATCCCTACTGCTGAATGAAAAGAAAGGTTTATCTCAGAGAAATGAAGGCACACACACACAGAATTGTTTCTCAGATAGCTTTCTTCTGGTTTTTATCCTGGGATATTTGGCTTTTCACCACTGGCCACAAGGAGATCCAAAATGTTCATTCCCAGAATGGACAAAAACAGTGTTTTCAAACTGGTGAATAAACAGAAAGGTTTAACTCTGTGATATGAATGCACGCATCACAAAAGAGTTTCTCACAAATCATATTTTTAGTTTTTATCTGAAGATGTTTAATTTTTCACCACAGGCCTCAATGTGTACCAAAATATCCCTTCACAGATAATACAAAAACAGTGTTTCCAAATTGTTAAATAAAAAGATTTAACTCTGCAAGATGAATGCACACATGCCAAAGCAAAGCAGTTTCTTTGAAAACTTCTTTATAGTTTTTTTCTGAAGATATTTCCTTTTTCACCATAGGCCTAAATGCGCACCCAAATATCCCTTCACATAAGATTCCAAAACATTGTTTATAAATTGCTGACTGAATAGAAAGGTTTAACTCTGTGAGATGAATGTACACATCACAAAGCAATTTCTCAGAAAGCTAACTTCTAGTTTTTATCCAGAGATACTGGCTTTTTCACATTTGGCCTCAATGAGTTCCGAAAAGTCCATTTGCAGAATGGACAAAAAGAGACTTTACAAACTGTTGATTAAAGAAAAAGTTTAACTCTGTGAGAAGAATGCACACATCACAAAGCAGTTTCTCAAAAAGCTTCTTTCTAGTTTTTATCTGAAGATGTTTCCTTTTTCACCATAGACCTCAATGTCTCCCAAATATCCCATTGCAGATTCTACAAAAATAGTGCTTCCAAACTGCTGCATGAAAAGAAAGGTTTAACTCTGTGAGGTGAATGCACAGCTCACAAAGCAGTTTCTCAGATACCTTCCTTCTAGCTTTAATGCTGGGATACTCACTTTTTCCCCATTAACCTCAATGATCTCCAAATTCTCCATTCACAGAATGGATAAAAAAGGTGTTTTCAAACTACTGAATCCAAAGAAATGTTTGATTCTGTGAGAGGAATGCACACATCCCAAGCAGTTTCTCAGAAAGCTTCCTTC
Source organism: Homo sapiens (assembly GCF_000001405.40). Taxonomy (NCBI): domain Eukaryota; kingdom Metazoa; phylum Chordata; class Mammalia; order Primates; family Hominidae; genus Homo; species Homo sapiens. The sequence continues at coordinate 50,628,150 of NC_000011.10, read as the reverse complement.
TAGTTTTTATCTGATGATGTTTCCTTTTTCACCATAGGCCACAATGAACTCCAAAATATCTCTTTGCAGAAGATGTCAAAAACAGCTTTTCCAAACTGCTGAATGAATAGAAAGGTTTAACTCCATGAGATGAATGCACATATCCAAAGTGGTTCCTCAGATAGCTTCTTTCTAGTTTTTATCCTGAGATATTTGCTTTTTCACCATTGGCCTCAATGAGATACCAAATGTCCATTGACAGAATGGACAAAAACATTGTTTCCAAACTGCTGAATCCAAAGAATGTTTCAACTCTATGAGATGAATGCACACATCACAAAGCAGTTCCTCATAAAGCTTCGTTCTATTTTTTATCTGAAGATGATTCCTTTTTCACAGTAGACCTCAATGAGCTCCTTAATATCCCTTTGCACATTGCACAAAAGTAGTGTTTCCAAACTGCTGAATGAAAGGAAAGTCTTAACTCTCTGTGATGAATGCACACATCAGAAAGCGGTTCCTCAGATAGGATCCTGCTTGATTTTTTCCTGGGATATTCACTTTTTTGCCATTGGTATCAATGAGCTCCCACATATCCATTCGCAGAATGGACATAAACGGATTTTCCACACTGCAGAATCCAAAGAAAGGTTTAAATCTCTGAGATGAATGCACACATCAAAAAGCAGTTTCCCAGAAAACTTCTTTCTAGTTTTCTTCTGCAGATGTTTCCTTTTTCACTATAAGCATCAATGCATTCCCAAATATTCCTTCACAGATTCTAGAAAAACAGTGTTTCCAAACTGTTGAATGAAAAGAAAAGTTTACCTCTGTGAGATGAATGCACACATCACAAAACCGTTTCTCTGATTCCTTACTCCTAGTTTTTATCCTGGGATATTCACTTTTTTGCCATTGGCTTCAATGAGTTCCAAAGAGTTCATTCACAGGATGGACAAAAACACTGTTTCCAAACTGCTGAATTCGAAGAAAATTTTAACTTTGTGAGATGAATGCACACATCACAAAACAGTTTCTTGGAAAGTTTCTTTCTAGTTTTTATATGAAGATGATTCCTCTTTCACCATACACCTCAATGTACTCCCAGTTTCTACAAAAACAGTGTTTCCAAGCTGCTGAATGAAAAGAAAATTTTCTCTCTCTGCATTGAACACATACATCACAAAGCAGTTTCTCAGATAGCTTCCTTCTAGTTTTTATGCTGGGATAATTGCTTTTTCACTATTACCCTCAGTGAGCTCCCAAATGTCCATTCACAGAATGGACAAAAAGAGTGTTTCCAAAAGGCTGAATTAAAAGAAAATTTTATTGCAGTGAGATGAATGTACACATCTCAAAGCAGTTCCTCAGATAGGTTCCCATTAGATTTTATCCTGGGATATTCCCTTTTTTTGCCATTGGCATCAATGAGCTCCCACATGTCTATTCAGAGAAGGGACATAAACAGTCTTTCCACACTGCAGAATTCAAAGAAGTGTTTAAATCTCTAAGACGAATGTACACAGCAAAAAGCAGTTTCTCAGATAACTTCTTTCCAGTTTTTGTCTGAAGATGTTTCCTTTTTAACCATAGGCCTCAAGGCACTCCCAAATATCCCTTTGCAGACTCTACAAAATCATTTTTTCCAAACTGCTGAATGAAAAGAAAGGTTTAAATCTGTGAGATGAGTGCACACATCACAAAACGGTTTCTCAGGTACATTTCTTCTAGTTTTTATCCCGGTATATTCTCTTTTTTGCCATTGACCTCAATCAGTTCTGAATTGTTGATTTGCAGTATGGACAGAAACAGTGTTTCCAAACAGATGAATCCAAAGAAAAGTTTAACTTCGTGAGATGAATGCACACATCAGAAAGGAATTTGTCAGGAAGCCTCTTTCTAGTTTTTATCTGAAGATGTTTAATTTTTCACTGTAGGCCCCAGTACACTCTTAAATATTCCTTCACAGAATATACGAAAACAGTGTTTCCAAACTAGTTAATGAAAAGAAAGTTTTAATGCTGTGAGATGAATGCACACATCACAAAGGGGCTTCTTAGGTAGCTTCCTTCTCTTTTTATCCTGGGATATTTGCTTTTTCACCATTCACCTCAATGAGCTCCCAAATGTCCACTCACAGAATGTACAAAACCAGTTTCCAAACTGATAAACTGAAAGAAAGTTTTAAATCTGTGAGAGGAATGCACACACCATAAAGACGTTTCACAGAAACCTTACTTCTATTTTTTATTTGAAGATATTTCCTTTTCACCAAAGGCCTCAATGTATTCCCAAATATCCCTTCACAGAAACTGCAAAAATAGTGTTTCCAAAGTGCTGAATGGAAGGAAATGTTTAACTCTGTGAGATGAATGTGCACATCATGAAGCGGTTTCTCAGACAGCTTCCTTCTAGTTTTTATTCTGGGATATTCACTTTTTTGCAATTGGCCTCAATCAGCTCCCAAAGATCCATTTGCAGAATGGACAAAAATAGTGTTTTCAAACTGCTGAATCAAAAAAAAGTTTTAACTCTGTGAGATGAATGCACACATCACAAAGCAGTTTCTCAGAAAGCTTCTTTCTAGTTTTTATCTGAAGACGTTTCCTTTTTCACCATAGGCCTCAAAGCACTCTGAAATATCCCTTCACAGATTCTACAAAAAACAATGTTTCCAAACTGTTAAATGAAAGAAAAGGTTTAGCTCTGCAAGATGAATGTATGCATTATAAAGTCATTTCTCAGATAGCTTCCTTCTAGTTTTTATACTGGGATATTTGCTTTTTTGCCTTTGGCCTCAATGAGCTCCCAAAAGTCCATTCACAAAATGGACAAAAACAGTATTTCCAAACAGCCGCTGAATCCGAAGAAAGTTTTAACTTTGTGAGATGAATACACATATCACAAGCAGTTTCTCAGAATGTTTCTTTCTAGTTTTTATCTGAAGATATTTTCTCTTTCACCATTTGGCCTCAATGCACTACCAAATATCCCTTCGCAGATGCTTCAAATACAGTGTTTCCAAAATGTTGAGTCAAAAGAAAAGTTTAGCTCTGTGAGATGAATGCACATATGACAAAGCAGTTCCTCAGATAGCTTAATTCTTGTTTTTATCCTGGAACATTCGCATTTTCACCATTGGCCTCAATGAGCTCCCAAATGTAAATTTGCATAATGAACAAACAAAGGATTTACAAACGGATGAATTAAAAGAAAAATTTAACTCTGTGAGATATATGCACATATCATAAAACAGTTTCTCAGAAATCTTCTTTGTAGTTTTTCTCTGAAGACATTTTCTATTTCCCCATGGAAATAAACAGCATTTCCAAACTGCCATATCAAAAGAAAAGATGAACTCAGAGATGAATGCACACATCACAAAGCCATTTCTAAGAAAGCTTCTTTCTTGTTTTCATCTGTAGAAATTTCCTTTTTAACCATTGACCTCAATGCACCACAAATATCCCTTTGCAGATTCTACAAAAAGTATTTCCAATCTGCTGAATGAGAAGAAAGTTTTACCTAGGTGAGATGAATGCACACATCACAAATAAGTTTATCAGAGAGTTTCTTTCTATTTTTTGTCAGAAGATACTTTCTTTTTGACCATAGTCCTCAATGCACTCCAAAATATGCCTTCACAGATTCTAGAAAAAAAGTTTTTCCAAACTGCTGAGTGAAAAGAAAGGTTTAACTTTGTGACTTGAATGCACACATGACAAAGAGGTTTCTCAGCTTCCTTCCAGTTTTATTTGGGGTATTCAGTTTTTTACCATTGTCCTCTGTGAGCTCCCAAATATCATTTCATAGAGTGAATGAAACCCGTGATTCCAAACTGCTGAATCCAAAGAAATGTTTAACTCTGTGAGATGAATGCACACATCATGAAGCAGTTTCTCAGAAAGCTTCTTTCTAGTTCTTATTTGAGGATAATTTCTTTTCATCCTAAGCCTCAATGAGCTCTCATATACCACTTTGCAGATTATACAAAAAAAGTTTTTCTGCACTGCTGAAAGAAGAGAAAGGTAAAATTTGCAGATGAATACACATATCAGAAAGTAGTTTCTTCTATGGTTTTCTTCTGGTTTTTATCCTGGGATATTCGATTTTTCACTATTGGCCTCAATAAACTCCTAAATGTTCATTCACAGAATGGACAAAAACAGTGTTTCCAAACTTCTGAATCTAAAGAAAGTTTTATTTCTTTGAGATGAATGCACACAACACAAAGCAGTTTCTCAGAAACTGTGACTATCCCAGGATAAAAGCTAGAAAAAAGTTATCTGTGAAACCACTTTCTGATGTGAGTATTCACCTTGCAAAGTTAAAATTTCTTTTCATTCAGCAGTTTGGAAACACTCCTTTTGTAGAAACTGTGAAGGGATATTTGGAAGCACATTGAGGCATAAGGTGAAAAAGAAAGTATCTTCAGATAAAAACTAGAAAGAGTTTTTCTGAGAAACTGCTTTATGATGTGTGCATTCATCTCAAAGAGTTACAAGTTTCTTTTGATTCAGCAATTTGGAAACATTGTTTTTGTTCATTCTGTGAGAAGACATTTGGCAACTCATTGAGGGCAATGTCGAAAAATTGAATAAACCAGGATAAAACCAAGAAGGAATCCATCTGAGAAAACGTTTTGTGATATGTGCATTCATCTCACATAGTTAAACCTTCCTTTTTATTCAGCAGTTTGAAAGACTGTATTTGTCCATTCTGTGCATGAACATTTGGGAGCCCATTGAGGTTTAATACAAAAAGTGAATATACCAAGATAAAAAAGAAGGAAGCTATCTGAGTAAAAGCTTTGTTATATGTGTCTTCATCTCGCAGAGCAAATCCTTTCTTCTAATTCAGCAGTTTTGAAACACTGTTCTTGTCCATTCTGCGAATAGACATTTGGGAATTCATCAATGCCAAGGGTGAAAAAGCAAATATTCCAGGATAAAAACTGTAAGGAAGAAATCTGAGAAACCACTTTGCAATATGTGCCTTCATCTCACTGAGTTAAACCTTTCTTTTGATTCAGTAGTTTGGAAACACTGTTTTTGAAGGGTTTGCAAAGGGATGTTTGGGAGTGCAATGAGGAGTATGGTGAAAAAGAAAATATCTTCCAATAAAAAGTGAAAATAAGCTTTCTCAGAAACTTCTTTGTGATGTGTGCATTCATCTCACAGAGTTAAACTTTTCTTATGATTCAGCAGTTTGGAAACACTGTTTTTTTTTTCCATTCTGTGAATGGACATTTCGGAGCTCATTGAGTCCCAGGATAAAAACTAGAAGAAAGCTATCTGAGTAATGACCTTGTGATGTGTGCAGCCATCTCAGAGTTACAACTGTCTTATGATTCAGCAGTTTGGAAACACTGTTTTTGTCCATTCCCAGAATGGACATTTGGGAGATCATTGAGGCCAATGGCAAAAAAGCAAATATCTCAGGATAAAAACTGGAAGGAAGCTATCTGATAAACCACTTTGTGATGTAAGCATTCATCTCACAGAGATAAAGCTTTGTTTTCATTCAGGAGTTTGGCAACACTGTTTTTGTAGTATCTGTGAAGGTATATGTGGGAGTGCATTGAGGCTTATGGTGAAAGGGAAAATATCTTCAGATAAAAATAATTAAGAAGCTTTCTGAGAAACTGCTTTGGAAGTGTGCATTCAATTCGCAGATTTAAGCCTTTCTTGGATTCAGCAGTTTGGAAACACTCTTATTGTCCATTCTGTGAATGGACATTTGGCAGCTCATTGAGGACTATGGTGAAAAAGCGAATATCCCAGGAAAAAAAACCACAAGGAAGCTACCTGAGTAACTGCTTTGTGATGTGTGCATTTATCTCACAGAGTTAAACCTTTATTTTCTTTTAGCAGTTTGAAAACACTATTTTTGTAAAATCTGTAAAGGGATATTTGGGAGTACTTAGAGGCCTATGTTGAAAAAGGAAATATCTTCAGATAAAAAGTAGAAAAAGCTTTTGGAGAAACTGCTTTGTGATGTGTGCATACATCTCACAGAGTTAAAACTTTCTTTTGACTCAGCATTTTGGAAACACTGCTTTTGTCCAATCTGCAAATGTACATTTTGGAGCTCATTGAGGACAATGATGAAAAAGCGAATATCCCAGAATAAAAACTAGAAGGAAGCTATCTGAGAAACTGCTCTGTGATGTGCACATTCATCCCACAGAGTTAAACCTCACTTTTTCCTTCAGCAGTTTATAAAAGCTGTTTTTGTAGAATCTGTGAAGCAATATTTGGCGGCACAATCATGCCTATGGTGAAAAAATATTTTAGATAAAAAAAGGAAAGAGTATTTCTGAGAATCTGCTTTGTGATGTGTGTATTCATGTCACAGAGTTCAACCTTTCTTTTATTCAGCACTATGGAACCACTGTTTTTGTCCATTTTGTGAATGCACTTGTGGGAGCCCATTTAGGCCCATGGCGATGAAGTGAATATTCCAGGGTAAAAACTAGAAGGAAGCTATCCGAGAAAGTGCTTTGTGATGTGTGCATTGATCTCACAGAGTTAAACCTATCTTTTCATTCAGCAGTTTGGAAACACTGTTTTTGTGGAATATGTGAAGTGATATTTCAGAGCACATTAAGGCCTAATATGAAGAAGAAAACATGTGAAGTTAAAAACTAGAAATAAGCTTTCTAAGAACCGGCTTTGAGAAGTGTACATTCTCCTAACAGAATCAAAGTTTTCTTTTGATTCAGCAGTTTAGAAACACAGTTTTTGTTCATTCTGCAAATGGACATTTGGGAGCTCACTGAGGCCAATGGCAAAAAAAAGAATATCCAGATAAAAACTAAAAAGAAGATGTCTGAGAAACTGCTTTGTGATGTATGCATTCACCTCACAGAGTTAAACCTTTCTTTTCATTCAGCAGTTTGGAAACACTGTATTCATAGAAACTGCAAAAAGATATCTGGGAGTATATTGAAGCTTACGGTGAAAAAGGAAATATCTTCAGTAGAAACTAGAAAGAACTTTTCTGAGAAACTGCTTTGTGATGTGTGCATTCACCACACAGAGTTAAACCACTCTGTGGATTCAGCGATTTGAAAACATTGTTCTTGTAGAATCTGTGAAGGAATATTTTGGGAGCTCTTTGAGACCAGTAGCCAAAAAGTGAGTATCCAAGGATAAAAACTAGAAGGAAGCCATCTGAGAAACAGCTTTCTGATGTGTGCATTCCCCTCACAGAGTAAAACTTACTTTTCATTCAGCAATATGGAAACACTGTTATGGCCATATCTCTGAAGGGATATTTGGGAGTGCACGGAGGCCTGTGGTGAAAAGGGAAATAACTTCAGATAAAAACTAGAAAGAAGCTTTCTGAGAAAGTGCTTTGTGATGTGTGGGTTGAACTCACAGAGTTAAATCTTTCTGTGGATTCAGCAGTTTGCAAACACTGTTTTAAACTTACTGCAGATGGACATTTTGGAGCTCTTTGACGTCAATGGCAAAAAAGGGAATGTTTCAGGATGAAAACTAGAAGAAAGCTACTTGAGGAACAGATTTCTGAAGTGTGCATTCATCTCACAGAGTTAACACTTTCTGTGGAATCAGCAGTTTGGAAACAACAAATTGTCCATTCTGCAAATGGACATTTGGGAGCTCATTGAAGCCAATGGCGAAAAAGAAAATATCCCAAGATAAAAACTAGAAAGAAGCTATCTGAGAAACTGCTTTGTGATGCGCACATTCACATCGCAGAGTTAAAACTTTCTTTTGACACACCTGTCTGTAAACACTGTTTTGGCAGAATCCACGAAGAGATATTTGGGAGCACATTGAGGCTGGTGGTGAAAAAGGAAATATCTTCAGATAAAAACTAGAAAGAAGCATTCTGGGAAACTGCTTTTTGATATGTGCATTCATCTCCCAGAGTTAAACCTTTCTTTTGATTCAGCAGTTTGGAAATCCTGTTGTCGTTGAATTGGTGAGGGGATATTTGAGAGCTCATTTAGGCCAATGGTGAAAAAGCAAATATTCCAGGACAAAAACTAGAAGGAAGCTATCTGAGAAACAGTTTTGTGATGTATGCATTCACTTCACAGAAGTAAAACTTGCTTTTCATTCAGCAATCTGGAAACACTGCTCTGGCAGAATCCCCATAGGGATATTTTGGAGTACATTGAGGCCTATGTTGAAAAAGGAAATATCTTCAGAAAAAAACTATAAAGAATATTTCTGAGAAATGGCTTTATGATATGTGCATCCATCACAAAGATGCACATATCACAAAGAATTAAAACTTTCTTTTGATTCAGCATTTTGGAAATACTGTTGTTGTAGAATCTGTGAAGGGATCATTGAGGTCAACGGTGAAGAAGTGAATATCCCAGGGTAAAAACTAGAAGAAAGCTCTTTGAGAAGCTGGTTTGTGATGTGTGCATTTATCTCATAGTGTTAAACCTTTCTTTTCATTCAGCAGTTCGGAAACACTGTTTTGGAAAATCCACAAAGGGATATCTCGTAGTGCTTTGTGGCCTATGGTGAAAAAGGAAATATCTTTAGATAAAAACTAGAAAGAAGCTTTCGGAGAAACTGCTTTGTGATGGGTCCATTCATCTCACAGACTTAAACCTGTCTTTGGATTTGGCAGTTTGGAAATACTGCTCTTGTAGCATCTGTGAAGAGATATTTGAGCACTCATACAGGCCAATGGTGAAAAAGCAAACATCCCAGGATAAAAACTAGAAGGAAGCTACTTGAGGAACCGCTTTGTGATGTGAACATTCATCTTGCAGCCTTAAAGCTTTTGTTTCATTCAGCAGTATGGAAACACTGTTTTCACAGAATCTGTGAAGGTATTTGGGAGCTCACTGAGGCTTATGGTGAAAAAGGAAATAACTTCAGGTGAAAAAGGAAATAACTTCAAGTAAAAAGTAGAAAGAACTTTTCTATGAAACTGCTTTGTGAAGTGTGCATTCATCCAACAGAATTAAATCTCTCACTGCATTCAGCAGTTCAGAACACTGTTGTAGAATATGCTAAGGAATATTTGGGGGCTTAATGAAGCCAAAGAGAAAAAACAGAATATAACAGGGTAAAAACTAGAAGGAAGCTATGTGAGAAACCACTTTGTGATGTGTGCATTCATCTCTCAGAGTTAAAACATTCTTTTCATTCAGCAGTTTGGAAACTGTTTTGTAAAATCTATGAAGTTATACTTGGGAGTGCCTAGAGGCCTATGGTGAAAAAAGAAATAACTTCAGATAAAAATTAGAAAGAAGCTATCTGAGAAACCACTTGGTGATGCGTGTATTCTTCTTACAGAGTTAAATCTTCCTTTGGATTCAGCAGTATGAAAACATTGTTGTTAAAAAATCTGTGAATTGATGTTTTGGAGCTTATTGAGGCCAATGGCAACAAAGCAAATATCCCAGAATGAAAACTAGAAGGAAGCTATCTGAGAAATCACTTTGTGATGTGTGCATTCATCTCACAGAGTAAAACCTTTATTTTCATTCAGCCCTTTGGGAACAGTGTTTTCGTAGAATCTGTGAAGGGATATCTGGGAGCAATTTGAGGCCTGTGGTGAAAAAGGCAATATCTTCAGATAAAAACTAGAAAGAAATTTTCTGAGAAACTGCTTTGTGTTGTGTGAATTCATCTCACAGAGTTCAACCATTCTGTGTATTCAGTAGTTTGCAAAAACTCTTTTTGTCCATTCTGCAAAAGGACATTTGGGAGATCTTTGAGGCCAATGGTGAAAAAGTGAATATCCCAGGATGAAAACTACAAGGATTTTATCTGAGGATCCACTTTATGATGTGTGCATTCATATTGCAGTTAAACCTTTCTTTTCATTCAACAGTTTGGAAACACTGCTTTTGTGGAAACTGAGAAAGAATATGTGTCAGCACATTTAGGCCCATGGTGAAAAAGGAAATATATTCAGATAAAAACTGGCAAGAAAGTTTCTGAGAAACTGCTTTGTGCTGTGTTCATTCTTCTAACAGAATTAAGCCTTTCTTTGGATTCAGGAGTTCAGTAACACTGCTTTTGTCCATTCTGCGAAAGAAGGTTTTGGTGCTCATTGAGGCCACTGGTGAAAAAGAGAATATCTCAGGATTAAAACTAGAAGGAAGCTATCTGAGAGACCACTTTGTGATGTGCACATTCATCTAACAGAGTTAAACCCTTCTTTTAATTCAGCAGTTTGGAAACACTGTTTTTGTAGAAACTGTAAAAGGATATTTAGCAGTGTATAAAGGCCTATGGTGAAAAAGGAAATATCATCAAATAAAAACTAGAAAGAAGTTTAATGACAAACTGGTTTGGGATGTGTGCATTCATCTCAGAGAGTTAAACCTTTCTTTGGATTCAGCAGTTTGGAAACACTGTTTTGTCCATTCTATGAATGGACATTTGGGAGCTCATTGAGGCCATTGGAAAAAAGAAAATATCCAAGGATTAAAACTAGAAGGAAGCTATCTGAGAAAACTCTTTGTGATGTGTGCATTCATCTAGCAGAGTTAAACCTTTCTTTTCATTTAGCATTTTGGAAACACTGTTTTTGTAGGAAATGTGAAAGGATATTTGGCAGCACATTGGTGCCTATGGTGGAAAAGGAAGTATCTTAAGATAAAAACTAGAAAGAAGATTTCTGAGAAACTGCTTTGTGATGTGTTCATTGATCTCACAGAGTTAAACTTTCCTTTGGATTCAGCAGTTTGGTAACACCGTTTTTGTCCATTCTGTGAATGGACATTTTGGAGCTTACTGAGGCCAATGGCAAAAAAGCAAATACCCCAGGATAAAAACTAGAAGGAAGTTATCTGAGAAAATGATTTGTGATGTGTGCATTCATGTCACAGAGTTTAACTTTCCTTTTCATTCAGCAGTTTGGAAACAGTGTTTTCTTAGAATCTGTGAAGATATATTTCGTAGCACATTGAGGCCTATGGTGAAAAAGGCATTATTTTCAAATAAAAACAAGAAATAAGCTTAATGTGAAACTGGTTTGGGTATGTGCATTCTTCTCATACAGGTAAAACTTTGTTTGGATTCAGCAGTTGGGTAACACTTTTTTTGCCCATTCTGCTAATGGATATCTGGGATCTCATTGAGGCCAATGGTGAAAAAGTGAATATCCCAGGATAAAAACTAGAAGGAAGCTATCTGGGAAACCGCTTTGTGATGTGTGCCTTCATCTCACAGTTAAACTTTTCTTTTCATTCAGCAGTTTGGAAACACTCTTTTTGTTGTATCAGCAAAGGGATATTTGGGAGCACGTTGAGGCCTTTGGTGTAAAAGGAAATATCTACAGATAAAAACTAGAAAGACACTTTCGGAAGAATTGCTTAATGATGTTTGCTTTTATCTCAGAGTTATACATTTCTTTGGATCCAGCAGTTTGGAAACACTGTTTTAGTCCATTATGGGAATGGACATTTGGGAGCTCATTGAGGCCAATGGTGAGAAAGGGAACATCTCAGGATAAAAACTAGAAAAATGATATCTGAGAAACCACGTTGTGATGTGTGCATTCATCTGGCAGAGTTAAAATTTCTTTTCATTCAACAGATTGGAAACACTGTTTTTGAAGTATATGCAAAGGCATATTTGGAAGGCAATATGGCCTATGGTGAAAAAGAAAATATCTTTAGATAAAATTTGAAAGAAGCTTTCTGAGAAACAACTTTGTGATGTGTTCATTCATCTCAAAGAGTTACACCTTTCTTTGGATTCAGCAGTTATGAAACACTGTTCCTGTAGAATTTGCAAAGAGATATTTGGGGGTTCATTGAGACCAAAGGCAAAAAATCAAATATCCCAGTGTAAAAACTAGAAGGAAGATTTCTGAGAAACCACTTTGTGATGTGTGCATTGATCTCACAGAGTTAAAGCTTTCTTTTCATTCAGCAGTTTCAAAACACTGTTTTCATAGAATCTGCCAATGGATATTATGGACCCCACTCAGGCCTATGGTGAAAAAGGAAATATCTTAAGATGAAAACCAGAAGAAGCTTTCTGAGAAACTGCTTTGTGATGTGTGCATTCATCTCACAGGGTTAAATCATTCTTTCCATTCTGCAGTTTGGAAACACTGTTTTTGTAGATGCCAAAGGTGAAAAAGCAAACATCCCAGGATAAAAACTAGAAGGAAGCTACCTGAAAAACTGCCTTGAGGTTGTGTGCATTCATCTCAGAGAGTTCAACCTTTCTTTTCATTCAGCAGTTTTGAAACATTGTTTTCATAGAATTGGTGAAGGGATATTTGGGAACCCATTGAGGCCTATGGTGAAAAAGGAATTATCTTCAGATAAAAACTGGGAGAAGCTTTCTGAGAAACTGCTTTGTAATATGTGCGTTCAACTCACAGAGTTAATTCATTCTTTCCATTCTGCAGTTTGGAAACACTGTTTTTGTAGAATCTGCGTAGGAATATTTGGGACGTCATTGATGCCAAATGTGAAAAAGTGAATATCCCAGGATAAAAAGTAGAAGGAAGCTATCCGACAAACTGCTTTGGGATGTGTGCATTCATCTCGCAGATTAAAATCTTTATTTTCATTCAGCATTTTGGAAACACTGTTTTGGTAGAATACACAAAGGGAGAACATTGAGGCCTGTGGTTAAAAGGAATTATCTTCAGATAAAACTTGAAAGAAGCTTTCTGAGAAACGGATTTGATATGTGTGCATTCACTTCACGGAGTTAAAACTTTCTGTGGATTCAGCAGTTTGCAAACACTGTTTTTGTCCATTCTGTGAATGAACATTTGGGACTCATTGAGGCCAATAGCAATAAAGGGAATATCCCAGGATAAAAACTAGAAGGAAGCTATCTGAGAAACCATTTTGTGATGTGTGCATGCATCTCACAGAGTTAAAACTCTCTTTCCATTCAATAATCTAGAAACACCATTAAGGCAGAATCCACGAAGGGATACTTGGGAGCACATTGAGGCCTTTGGAGAAAAAGTTAAACCTTTCTTTTTATTCTGCAATGAGGAATCAATGCTTCTGTAGAATCTGTGAAGGGATAACAAGGAGTGCATTGAGGACTATGGTGAAAAGAGAATTATTTTCAAATAAAACCTAGAAAGAAGCTACCTGAGAAACTGCTTTGTGATGTGTGCATTCATCTGACAGAGATAAACAGTTCTTTGAATAGTTTGGAAACACTGTTTTTGTAAAATATGCAAACAGTTATTTGATAGTTCATTGAGGCCAAAGGTGAAAAGGTGAATATACCAGGAGAAAAACAAGGAGGAATCTATCTGAGAAACCTTCCTTTTAATTCAATGGTTTGGAAACAATGCTTTTGTAGAATGTGCAAAGGGATATATGGGAGTGCTTTGAGGCCTAAGGTGAAAAAGGAGATATCTTCAGATAAAAACCAGAAGGAAGCATTCTGAGAAACTGCTTTGTGATGTGTGCATTCATCTCACTGAGTTAAACCTTTCTTTTGGATCCAGCAGTTTGGAAATACTGTTTTTGTGCACTATATGAAAGGTATCTGTGAGCTCATTGAGGCCAATGGCAAAAAAGTGAACAATCCAGGATGAGAACTAGAAGGAAGCTATCTGATAAAGCCCTGTCTGATGTGTGAATTCAACTCATGGAGTTAAAACTTTCTTTTCATTCAGCAGTTTGGAAGCACGGTTTTGGTAGAATCTGTGAAGGGATATTTAGGAGTGCATTGAGGTCTATGGTGAAAAGGGAAATATCTTCAGATTAAAAACTACAAAGAAGCTTTCAGAGAAACTGCTTTCTGATGTGTGCATTCGTCTCACAGAGTTAACCTTTCTTTGTATTCAGCAGTTTGGAAACACTGTTTTTGTCCATTCTGTGAATGGACATTTGGGAGCTCTTTGAGGCCAATTGTGAAAAAGTGAATATCCCAAGGTAAAAACTAGAGGGAAGCTATCTAAGAAACAGCATTTTTATGTCTGAAGTCAACTCCCAGAGTTAAAACTTTCTTTTCTTTCAGCAAATTGGAAGCACTGTTTTGGTAGAATCTGTGAAGGGATATTTGGGAGCGCATTGAGGCTTATGGTGAAAAACAAAATATCTTCAGATAAAACTAGAGAGAACATTTCTGGGAAATCGCTTTGTGACATGTGCATTCATCTCACAGAGTTGAACCTTGCCTTGGATACAGCAAGATGGAAACACTGTTTTTGTAAAATCTGTGAAGGAATATTTGGGAGCTCATTGAGGACAAACGTGAAAAAAATGAATATCCCAGAATAAAAAGTAGAAGGAAGCTATAAGAGAAATTGCTTTTTGATGTGGGCCTTCAGCTGGCAGAGTTAAACCTTTCTTTTCACTAAGCAGATAGGAAACACTGTTTTTGTCCATTCTCTGAATGGACATTTGGGAGCTTACTGAGGCCAAAGGTGAAAAATAAAATAGCCCAGGATAAAAATTAGAAGGAAGTTAACTGAGAAACCTCTTTGTGATGTGTGCATTCATTTCAAAGAGCTAAACATTTCTTTTCATTCAGCAGTTTGGAAACACTGTTTTTGTAGAATCTGTGAGGGAATATTTGGGAGCACATTGAGACATATGGTGAAAAAGGAGATATCTTCAGATAAAAACTAGAAAGAAGCTTTATGAGAAAGTTCTTTGTGATGCGTGCATTCATATCATAGAATTAAACCTTTCTTTGGACTCAGTAGTTTGCAAAAACTGTTTTTGTCCATTCAGCAAACGGATAATTGGAAGCTCATTGAGTCCAAGGTGAAAAAATGAATATCTCAAGATAAAAACTAGAAGGAAGCCATCTGAGAAACCGCTTTGTGATGCATGTATTCATCACACAGAGTTAAAACTTTCTTTCATTCAGCAGTTTGGAAGCACTGATTTTGTCCATTCTGTGAATGGACATTTGGGAGATAATTAAGGCCATAGTTGAAAAAGTGACTATCCCAGGATAAAAACTAGAAGGAACCTATCTGAGAAATCGCTTTGTATTGTGTGCATTCATCTCACAGAGATAAACATATCTTTTCATTCATCAGTTTGGAAGCCCTGGTTTGGTAGAATATTTTAAGAGATTTCTGGGAGTTCTTTGATGTCTATGGTGAATAGGAAACATCTTTATATGAAAACCAGAAAAAAAGCTTTCTGATAAACTGCTTTGTGATGTGTGCATTCTTCTCACCAAGTTAAAACTTTCTTTTTATTCAGCACCGTGGAAACACTATTTATGTAAAAATGGTAAAGCGATATTTGGGAGAACTTTGAGGCCTATGGTGAAAAAGGAAATATCTTCAGATAAAAACTTGAAAGAAGCTCTCTGAGAAACTGCCTTTCATGTGTGCATTCATCTCACAGAGTTCAAATTTTCTATGCTTTCAGCTGTTTGGAAACACTGTCTTTGTCAATCTGCAAATGGACATTTGGGAGCTCATTGAGGCAAATTGTGAAAGAGCGAATATCCCAGGATAAAAACTAGAAGGAAGCCATCTGAGAAACCACTTTTTGATGTGTGCATTAATCTCACAGATTTAAAAATGTCTTTTCATTCATCAGTTTTGAAACACTGTTTTTGTAGAATATGTGAAGGGATATTTGGTAGTACATTGAGGCTTATGGTGAAGAATGAAATATTTTCAGATGAAAACTAAAAAAATCATTCGGAGAAACTGCTTTGGGATGTTTGCATTCATCTCACAGAGTTAAACCTTTTTTTGGATTCAGCAGTTTGGAAACACTGTTTTTGTAGAATCTGCAAAGGGATATTTGGGAGCTCATTGAGCAAGAAGATGAAACAGCTAATATCTCAAGATAAAATCTAGAAGGAAGCTATCTGAGAAACAGGTTTGTGATGCATGCATTCACCTCAATGAGTTGAAATTTTCTTGGGATTCAGCAATTTGGAAACACTGTTTTTGTAGAATCTGTGGAGGAATATTTTGGAGCTCTTTGAGGCCTATCGCAAAAGAGAGAATATCCCAGAATAGAAACTAGAAGGAAGCTATTTCAGAAACCGCTTTGTGATGTGTGCATTCATCCCACAGAGTAAAACCTGTCTTTTCATTCAGCTGTTGGAAACACTATTTTAGTAGAACCTGTGAAGGTATTATAGGGAGTGCACTGAGGCCAATGGTGAGAAAGGAAATATCTTCAGATAAAAATAGAAAGAAGCTTTCTGAGAAACTGCTTTGTAATGTCTACATTCATTTCACAGAGTTAAACCTTTCTTTAAATTCAGCAGTTTGGCAACACTGTTTATGTAGAATCTGCAAAGGGATATTTGATAGTTTATGGATGCCAAAGGTAAAAAAGCAAATGTTGCAGCATAAATACTCGCAGGAAACTATCTGAGAAACCATTTCTTGGTGTGTGCAATCATTTTACAGAATTAAAACTTTGTTTTCAATTCAGCAGTTTGGAAACACTGTTTTGGTAGAATCTGCGAGGCGATATTTGGGAGCCCATGGAGGTCAATGGTGAAAAAGGAAATATCTTCAGATAAATACTACAAAGAAACAATCTGAGAATCTGTTTTCTGATGTGTACATTCAACTCACAGAGTTAAAATTTTCTTGGGATTCTGCAGATTGGAAAAACTGTTTTTGTACAATCTGCAAAAGAATATTGTATTGCTCATTGAGGCCAAAGTCTAAAAAGCAAATATCCCAGGACAAAAACTAGAAGGAAGGTATCTGAGAAACTGCTTTGTGGTGTGTGCATTCATCTCACAGAGTTCAACCTTTCTTTCCATTCATCAGTTTGGAAACACGGTTTTGGTACAATTTGCGAAGTTATGTTTGGCAGTGCATTGAGGCCTATGGTGAAAAAGGAAATATCTCCAGATAAAAACTAGAAAGAATCTTTCTGAGAAACTGCTTTGTGATGTGTGCATTCACGTCATAGAGTTAAACCATTCTTTGGAAACAGCAGTTTGGAACACTGTTTTCATAGAATCTGAAAAGGGATATTAGATAGCTAATTGAGGCCATTGGTGAAAAAGCAAAGGTTCCAGGATAAAAACTAAAAGGAACTCTCTGAGAAACCACTTAGTGATGTATGCATTCCTCTGGCAGAGATAAACACTTCTTTTGATTCAGCACGTTAGAAACCATGTTTTGGTAGAATCTGTGAATGGATATTTGGGAGCACACTGAAGCCTATGATGAAAAAGTAAATATCTACAGATAAAAACTTGGAAGAAGCTTTCTGAGAAATTGCTTTTTGATGTGTGCATACGTCTGAAAGAGTTAAACCTTTCTTTGGATTCAGAAGTTTAGAAACACTGTTTTTCTCCATTCTGTGAAGGGACTTTTGGGAGCTCATTGAGGCTAAAGGTGGAAAAGCATATATCCCATGACAAAAACTACAAGGAAGTTATCTGAGAAACCACTTTGTGATGTGTGCATTCATTTTACAGAATTAAACCTTTCTTTTCATTCAGCAGTTTGGAAACACTCTTTTGTTAGAATCTGCAAATGGATATTTGGGAGTGCATAGAAGTGTACTGTAAAAAAGGAAATATCTTCAGATGAAAACTATAAAGAAGCTATCTGAGAACCACTTTGTGATGTGTGCGTTCATCTCATAGAGTTAAATTTTTTTTTCCATTCAGCAGTTTGGAAACACTGCTTTGTAAAATCTGTGAAGGGATATTTGGTAACTCATTGAGGCCAAAGGCAAAAAGCTAATATCCTAGGATAAAAACAAGAAGGGAGCTATCTGAGAATCCCCTTTGTGATGTTTGCATTCTTCTAACAGAGTTAAAATGTTCTTTTCATTGAACAGTTTGGGAACACTATTAATGTAGCATGTGCAAAGGGATATTTGGGAGTGCATTGAGGCCTATGGTGAAAAAAGAAATATCTTCATTTTAAAACTAGAAAGAAACTTTCTGAGACACTGCTTTATTGTGTGTACATTAATCTCACAGAGTTAAACTTTTCCTTGGATTCAGCAGTTTGGAAACACTGTTGTTGTAGGATCAGTGAAGGGATAGTTGGGAGCTCATTGAGGCCAAATGCAAAAAGTGAATATCCAAAGATAAAAACTAGAAGGAAGCTTTCTGAGAAAACAATTTTTGATGTTTGCATTCACGTGGCAGAGTTAAACCTTCCTTTTCATTCAGCAGTTTGGAAACACTTGTTTTGTAGATACTGCAAAGGGATATTTGGGAGCCCATTTAGGCCTACAGTGAAAAAGGAAAAATCTTCAGATAAAAACTAGAAAGAAGCTTTCTGTGAAACTGCTAAATGATGTGGGCATTCATCTCACAGCATTAAACCTTTCATTGAATTGAGCAGTTTGGAAACACTGTTTTGTTCATTCTGCAAATGGACATTTGGGAGCTCATTGAGTCCAATGGCTAAAAAGTGAATATACAAGAATACAAGCTAGAAGGAAGCTATCTGAGAAACTGCTTTGTGATCTGTGCGTTCATCTTCCAGAGTTGAAATTTTCTTTTAATTCAACGGTTTAGAAACACTGTTTTGGCAGAATCTGAGAAGGGATATTTGGGAGCGCATTGAGTCCTACGGTTATAAATTAAATAACTTCAGATAAAAACTAGAAAGAAGTTTTCTGAGAAAATGCTTTGTGATGTGTGCATTCAACTCACTGAGCTAAACCTTTCTTTGGATTCAGCTCTTTGCATATGCTGTTTTGGTAGAATCTGCAAAGGGATATTTTGGTGCGTATAGAGGTATACTGTGAAAAAGGAAGTATCTTCAGATGAAAACTAGAAAGAAGATATCTGAGACACTGGTTTGTGATGTGTGCATTCATCTGATAGAGTTAAACATTTTTTTTCTATTCAGCAGTTTGGAAACACTGTTTTTGCTGTATCTGCAAAGGGATATTTGGAGCTCTTTGTGGCCAAATTTGAAAAAGAGAATATCCCTGGATAAAAACTAGAAGGAACCTATGTGAGAAACCGCTTTGTGATTTGTGTATTCACCTCACAGAGTTAAACCTTTCTTTTCATACAACTGTTTGGAAACACTGTTTTTGTAGAATCTTTGAAGGGATATTTTTCAGTGCATTGAGGGCTATGGTGAAAAAGGAAATATATTAAGATAATAACTAGAAAGAAATTTTATGAGAAACTGCTTTGTGATGTGTGCATTTGTCTCACAGAGTTAAAATTTTCCTTGGATTCAGCAGTTGGGAAACACTGTTTTTGTACAGTCTATGAATGTACATCTTTTAGCTCATTGAGGTCAAAGGTGAAAAATCCTCTATCCAAGGATAAAAACTAGAAGAAAGCCATCTGAGATACTGCTTTGTGATGTGTGCATTCATCTCACACAGTTAAACATTTCTTTACATTTAGCAGTTTGGAAACACTGTTTTGGTAGAATCTTCAAAGGGATATTTGGGAGTGCCTTGAGACCTATGGAAAAAATGTAATATTTCCAGATGAAAACTGGAAAGAAGCTTTCAGAGACACTGTGAAGGGACAATAGCTAGCTCATTGAGTCCATAGGTGAAAAAGTGAATATCCAAGGATAAAAACTAGAAGAAAGCTATCTGAGAAACCACTTTGTTATGTGTGCATTTATCTCATACCGATAAATTTTTCTTTTCATTCAGCCATTTGGAAGCACTGTTTTGGTAGAATCTCTGAAGGGATATTGGGGAGTGCATTGGGGCCTATAGAAAAATAGGTAATATCTTCAGATAAAAACTAGAAAGAAGCTTTCTGAGAAACTGCTTTGAGATGTGTGCATTCACCTTACAGAGTTAAAAGTTTCTATGGATTCATCAGCTTGGAAACAATGTTTTTGTAGAATCTGCAAATGGATATTAGCTCATTGAAGTGATAGGCAAAAAAGAGAATATCCCAGGTTAAAAAGTAGAAGGATGCTATCTGAAAAACCGCTTTGTGATGTGTGCATTCATCTCGTGGAGTTAATACTTTCTTTTCATTCAGCAGTTTGGAAACCATGTTTTTGTAAAATCTGTGAAAGTATATTTGGGAGCACATTAAGGCCTAAGGTGAAAAAGGTAACATCTTCAGATAAAAACTCAAAAGAAGCTTTCTGAGAAACTGCTTTGTGATATATGCATTCATGTCACAGATTTAAAGCTTTCTTTGGATTCAAAAGTTTGTAAACACTGTTTTTGTCCATTCTGTGAATGGACATTTGGGAGCTCATTGAGGCCAATCATGAAAAAGCAAATATCCCACTATAAAAACTAGAAGGAAGCTATCTATATGAAAAGACGACTTTAATTCTGTGAGATGAATGCACACATCAAAAAGCAGTTTCTCTAAAAGCTTCTTTCTGGTTTTCATCTGAATATATTTAATTTTTTACCATAGGTCTCAGTTCACTTCCCAATATCCTTTTGCAGAATCTACCAAAACAGTGTTTCCAAACTGTCTAATGAAAATAAAGGTTTACTTCTGTGAATTGAATTTGCACATCACAAAGCAGTTTCTCTGATAGCATCCTTCCACTTTTTAACCTGGAATATTCCCTTTTTCACCATTGGCTTCAATGAGCTCCAAGATGTCCTTTCACAGAAAGGACAAAAACAGCGTTTCCAAACTGCTGAATCCAAAGAATAGTTTAACTCTGTGAGATGAATACA
This sequence comes from Homo sapiens, assembly GCF_000001405.40. Lineage (NCBI taxonomy): Eukaryota > Metazoa > Chordata > Mammalia > Primates > Hominidae > Homo > Homo sapiens. The sequence goes on along the minus strand of NC_000011.10, from coordinate 50,607,629 downwards.
CACATCACAAAGAAGTTTCTCAGAAAGCTTATTTCTAGTTTTTACCTGAAGATATTTCCTCTTTCAATGTAGACCACAATGGGCTCAGAAATATCCCTTCGCAGTTTCTAGGAAAACAGTGTTTCCAAAGTGCTGAATGAACAGAAAGGTCTGACACTATGAGATGAATGCAAACATCACAAAGCATTTTCTCAGATAGCTTTCTTCTAGTTTTTATCCTGGGATATTCTCTTTTTGCATTTGGCCTCAATGAGCTAAATAGTATCCTTTTGCGGATTCTACAAAACATTGTTTCCAAGCTGCTGAATCCAAACAAAGGTTTAACTTTGTGAGATGAACTCACACATCACAAAGTAGTTTCTCAGAAAGATTCTTTCTAGTTTTTGTCTGAAGATACTTTCTTTTTCACCATAGGCTTTAATGCCCTCCCAAATATCCCTTCACAGATTCTACCAAAAAATAGTTTCAAAATGCTGAATGAAAAGAAAGTTTAACTCTGTAAGCTGAATGCACAAATAACAAAGCTGTTTCTCAGATAGCATGCTAATATTTTTTATCCTGGGATATTTTCTTTTTCACCTTGGGCCTCAATGAGCACCCAAACGTCACTTCGGATATGCTACAAAAAGTTTTTCTAAACTTCAAACTACAAAAACAGTATTTCCAAACTGCTGAATACAAAGAAAAGATTAACTCTCTGAGATGAATGCAAACATCTTAAAGCAGTTCCTCAGAAAGCTTATTTTTTCTTTTTATCTGAAAATGTTTCTTTTTTCACCATAGGCCTCCATGCATTCCCAAAAGCCCCTTCATGGATTCTATCAATACATTGTTTCCAAACTGCTGAATGAAAAGAAGGGTTTAACTCTGCAAGATGAACACACACATCACTAAGCAGTTTCTCAGATAGCTTCCTTTTAGTTTTTATCCTGGGATATTCACCTTTTGGCCATTGGCCTCAAAGAGATCCCAAATGTCCATTTACAGAATGGACAAAAACAATGTTTCAAACAGACGAATCCAAATAAAGGTTTTACTCTCTGTGGTGAATTCTCACATCACAATGCAGTTACTCAGAAAGTTTCTTTCTAGTTTTTATCTGAATGTATTTCTATCTTCACTCTAGGCCTCAATGTGCTCCAAAATATCCCTTCACAGATTCTACAAAAATAGTGTTTCCAAATGCTGAATGAAAAGAAACATTAAACTCTGGGAGATGAATGCAGACATCACAAAGCAGTTTCTCAGATAGCTTCCTTCTGGTTTTTATCCCAGTATATTCTCATTTTCACCATTGGCCTCAATGAGCTCCCAAATGTCCATTTGCAGAATGAACAAAAAGAGTGTTTTAAAACAGCTGAATTCAAAGAAAGTTTTAACTCTGTGAGATGAACACACACATCATAAAGCACTTTCTCAGAAAGCTTCTTTCTAGTTTTTATCTGAAGATATTTCCTTTTGCACCATAGGCCTCAATGCGCTCCCAAATATCCCTTCACAGATTCTACAAAAACAGTGTTGCCAAACTGCTGAATTTAAAATTCAGTGAGATGAATGCACACATCACAAAACAGTTTCTCAGAAAGCTTCTTTCTAGTTATTAGCTTGGAATATTAGGTTTTTTGCCATTGGCTTAAATGAGCTCCCAAATGTCCACTCATATAATGGACAAAAACAGTGGTTCCACACTGCTGATTCCAAAGAAAGATTTAACTCTGTGAGATGAGTGCACACATCACAAATCAGTTTCTCAGAAAACGTCTTTCTAGTTTTTATCTGAAGATATATCCTTTTTCATAAAAGGACTCAATGCGGTCTCAAATATCTTTTTGTAGATTCTATAAAAACAGTGTTTCCAAATTGCTTAATGAAAAGAAACGTTTAACTCTTCAAGACGAATGCACACATCACATAGCAGTTTCTCAGATAGCTTTCTTTTAGCTTTTATCCAGGGATATTCTTTTTTTTTTTTGTCTTTAACATCTATGAGCTGTCAAATATACCTTCACAGGTTCGACAGAAACAGTGTTTCCAACCTACTGAATGCAAGAAATGTTTTAACCCTATGACATGAATGCACACATCACAAAGCAGTTTCTAAGAAAACTTCTTTCTTGATTTCATCAAAAGATGTTTCCTTTCTCATGATAAGCCTCATTGTGATCCCAAATGTCCCTTTGCAGATTCTACCAAAGCAGGGTTTCCAAGCTGCTGAATGAAAAGAAACGTGTAACCCTGCAAGATGAATGCACACATCGTAAAGCAGTTTCTCAGATAGCTGTCTTCAGGTTTTTATCCTGGGATATTCACTTTTTTGCCATTGGCCTCGATGAGCTCCCAAATATCCTTTCACTGAATGGACAGAAACAGTGTTAAAAAAAAGTGCTGAATACAAAGAATGGTTTAACTCTGAAAGATGAATGAACACATCATGATGCAGTTTCTCAGAATGCTTCTTTCTAGTTTTTATCTGAATATGTTTCCTTTTTCAAAATAGGCCTTAATGTGCTCTCAAATATGTCTTCATAAATTCTACAAAAACAATGTTTCCAAACTGCTGAATGAAAGGAACAGTTTAACTTCTGAGATGAATCCACACATCACAAAACCGTTTCACAAATAGCTTCCTTCTAGTTTTTATCTTGGGATATTCGCTTTTTCACCACTGACCTCAATGAGCTCCAAAATGTCCTTTCACAGAATTGACAAAAACAGTGTTTCCAAACTGCTGAATCTAAAGAAAGATTTAACTCTGTGAAATGAATGCACACATCACAAAGCAGATTCTCAGAAATCTTCTGTCTAGTTTTTATCTGAAGATATTTCCATTTTCACCATAGGCCTCAAAGCGCTCCCAAATATCCCTTCACAGACTCTACAAAAACAGTGTTTTCAAACTGTGGAATGAAAGGAAAGGTTTAACTCTGCGAGATGAATGCACATGTCACCAAGCACTTTCTCAGATATCTTCCATCTCATTTTTATCCTGGGATATTTGCTTTTTAGCCTATGGTCTGAAAGAGCTATCAAATATCCCTTTGCAGATTCTACAAATGCAGTGTTTGCAGACTTTTGAATCCAAAGAAAGTTTGAACTTTGTGAGATGAATGCAAACATCACAAAGCAGTTTCTCATAAAGCTTCTTTCTATTTTTCATCTAAAGATATTTCCTTTTTTACTATAGGAGTCAATGCTTTAAGAAATATCCCTTAAAAGATTCTACCAAAACAATGTTTCCAAATGCTGAATGAAAAGAAAGGTTTAACACTGCGAGATTAATGCACACATCACAAGGCAGTTTTTCAGGTAACTTCCTTCTAGTTTTTATCTTGGGATATTAGCTTTTTCTCCTGTGGCCTCTATGAGCTATCAAATATGCCTTTGCAGATTCTAAAAAAAAAACAGTATTTCCATACTGCTGAATACAAAGAAACTTTTAACTATGTGAGATGAATGTGCACATCACAAAGCAGTTTCTCAGAAATCTTTTTTCTAGTTTTTCTCTGAAGATATTTCCTTTTTCATCATAATCCTCAATGCGCTCCCAAATTTCCCTTCACAAATTCTGCCATAACAGTGTTTCCAAACTTCTGAATGAAAAGAAAGGTTTAACTCTGTGAGATGAATGGATACATCACAAACCAGTTTCTCAGAAAGCTGCTTTCCAGTTTTTATCTGAAGATATTTACTTTTTAACCATAGGCTTCAATGCACTCCCAAATATCCATTTGCAGATTCTACCAAAACAGTGTTTCCAAACTGCTGAATGAAAAGAATGGTTTTTATCCCTGAGATGAATTCACACATCACAAAGCAGTTTCTCAGATAGCTTCCATCTAGTTTTCATCCTCTGAGAGTTGTTTTTTGGCCTTTGGCCTGAATGAGCTATCAAATATTCCTTAGCAGATTCTACAAATACAGGTTTTGCAAACTAGTGAATCCAAAGAAAGTTTTATCTCTGTGAGATTAATGCACTCTTCACAAAGCAGTGTCTCAGAAAGCTTCTTTATAATTTTTAATCTGAAGATATTTCCTTTTTCACCATCGGCCTTGATTCCCTCCTTAATATCCCTTTGCAGATACTACAAAAACAGTGTTTCCCAACTACCGAATCAAAACAAAGTTCTAACCTTGGGACAACAATGCACACATCACAAAGCATGTTCTCAGAAAGCTTCTGTCTTGTGTTTATCTGAAGATATTTCCTTTTTCACCATGCTTGTAAATGTGTTCCCAAACATCCCTTTGCAGATTCTACAAAAACTGTGTTTCTAAACTGCTGAATGTAAAGAAAGGTTTAACTCTGTGAGATGAATGCACACATTTGAAAGCAGTTCCTCAGAGAGCTTCGTTATAGTTTTTATCCTCAGATATTCACTTTTTTGCCATCGGCCTCAATGAACCCTTAAATGTCCGTTCACAGAATGAACAAAAACAGTTTTTCCAAATTACTAAATCCAAAGAAAGGTTTAACTCTGTGAGATGAATGCACACATCACAAAGCAGTTTGTCGGAATTTTTCTTTCTATTATTTATGTGAAGATGTTTCTTTTTTCACCATAGCCGTCAATACACTCCCAAATGTCTCTTCACAAATTCTAAAAATACAGTGTTTCCAAATGGCTGAATCCAAAGAAAGGTTTACCTCTGTGAGATGAACGCACACATCAGCATGTCAGATAGGTTTCTTCTATATTGTATATTGGGATATTCACTTTTTCACCATTGGTTTCAATGAACTCTTGAATGTCCATTCACAGAATGGACAAAAACAGTGTTTCCAAACTGATGAATCCAAATAAATATTTGACCTTGTGAGATGAATGTCCACATCACAAAGCAGTTTCTTAGAAAGCTTCTTTCTGTTTTTTATCTGAAGATATTTCCTTTTTCACCTAGGCCTCAATGCTCTCCAAAATATCCACTTTCAGATTCTGCCAATATAGTTTTTCCACACTGCTCAATGAAAAGAAAGCTTTAACTCTGTGAGATGAATGCACACACCAAAAACAGGTTTCTCAGTTAGCTTCCATCTAGTTTTTATCCTGGGATATTTGCTTTTTCACCTTCAGCCTTAATGATCTCTCAAATGTCCATTCACAGAATGGACAAAAACTGTTTCCAAACTGCTGAATCCAAAGAAAGTTTTCACTCTGTGAGATGAAAGCATACATCACAAAGCAGTTTCTCAGAAAGCTTCTTTCTAGTTTTTATCTGAAGATTTTTCCTTTTCTACCATAGGCCTAAATGTGCTCCCAAATATCCCTTCACAGATTCCACAAAAACAGTGTTTCCAAACTGCTCATTGAAAAGAAAGTTTTAACTCTGTGAGAAGAATGCAGCTATCTAATATCTCTTCTGAGATTCTACAAAATCAGTATTTCCAAACTGCTGAATCCAAAGAAAGGTTTACCTCTGTGAGGTGAATGCACACCTCACAAAGCAGTTTCTCAGAAAAGTTTTTTCGAATTTTTGTCTGAAGATTTTTTTTTCACAATAGGCCACAATTCCCTCTCATATATCCCTTTGCAGATTGTACAAAATCAGAGTTTCCGCACTGCTGAATGAAAAGAAAGTTTTAACTCTGCAAGATGAATGCACCTGTCAAAAATTGGTTTCTCAGATAACTTTCTTCTAGTTTTTATCCTGGAATATCCACTTTTTCACCATTGTGCTCAATGAGCTCCCAAATGTCCATTTGCAGAATGGAAAAAGACAGTGTTACCAGTTAGCGGAATCAAAAGAAATATTTAACTCTGTGAGATTACTGAACACATCACAAAGCTGTTTCTCAGAAAGCTTCTTTCTAGTTTTCATCTGAAGATATTTCCTTATTCACCATAGGCCTCAATGAGGTCACAAATATGCCTTTGCTGACAAATATGCCTTTGCTGATTCTACCAAAACAGTGTTTCCAAACTGCTGAATGAAAAGAAAGGTTTAACTTTAAGAGATGAATGCTCACATTGCAAAGCAGTTTCTCCCATAGCTTCCTTTTAGTTTTTATGCTGGAATATTCACTTTTTTGACTTTGGCCTCAATGGGCTCCCAAATATCCCTTCACACATTCTACAAAAACAGTGCTTCCATACTACTGAATCCAAAGAAAGTTTTGACATTGTGAGAGGAATGCACACAACGCAATGCAGTTCTAAGAAAGCTTCTTTCTAGTTTTCATCTGACGTTATTTCCTTTTTCACCTTAGGATTCCATGTGTTCCCAAATGTCTGTTTGTAGGTACTACCAAAATAGTGTTTCCAAACTGCTGCATGAAATGGAAGTTTTAACTTTCAGAGATGAATGCAAACATCATAAGGGGGTTTCTCAGATAGCTTCCTGCTAGTTTTTATCCTGGGATTTTTGGTATTACCCCTATGGACTCAATGAGCTATCAAATATTCCTTCACAGATTCTACAAAAACAGTGTTTCCCAACTGGTTAATCCAGTGAAAGTTTTAACTCTGTTTGATGAACACAAACATATCACAAAGCAGTCTCTTAGAAAGCTTCTTTCTCACTTTTTTCCTGAAGATATTTGCTTTTTCACCACAGGCCTCAATGCACACCCAAGTATCTCTTCGCATATACTACCCAAGCAGTTTTTCCAAACTGCTGAAGGAAAGGAAAAGTTTACCTCTGTGAGATGAATGCACACTTCACAAAGTGGTTTCTCAGATAGATTTCTTCTAGTTTTCATCCTGGTATATTTTCTTTTTTGCCTCTGGCCTCAATGAACTATGAAATATAATACCACAGATTCTACAAAAATGGTGTTTCCAAACTGCTGAATCCAAAGAATGGTTTAAGTCTGTGAGATGTGTGTTGAGATCACAAAGCAATTTCTCAGAATGATTCTTTCTACTTTTTATCTGAAGATATTTCTTATTTCACCATAGGCCTCAATGCGTTCCTAAATGTCCCTTCACAGATTTTACCAAAAAGAATGTTTCCAGACTGCTAAATGAAAAGGAAAGTTTAACTCTGTGAAATGAATGCACACATCACAAACCGGTTTCTCAGATAGCTTTATTCTAGCTTTTATCCTGGGATATTCACTTTTTCACCTTTGGCCTTAATGGGCTCCAAAATATTCACTCACAGAATGGACAAATACAGTGTTTCCAAAATGCTGAATCCAAAGAAAAGTTTAACTCTGTGAGATAAATGCATACATCACAAAGCAGTTTCTCAGAAAGCTCCTTTTTCTTTTTTATCTGAAGATGATTCCTTTTTCACCATAGGCACCAATGTGTTAGCAAATATCCCTTTGCAGATTCTACCAAAACAATGTTTCTAAACTGCTGAAAGAAAAGAAAGGTTTAACTCTGTGAGATGAATGCACACATCACAAAGCAGATTCTCAGATAACTTCTTTCTAGTTTTTATCCTGGGATATTCGCTTTTTCACCTTTGGCATCAGTGAGCTCCCAAATTATTCAGAAACAGACTTTACATACTACAGAATCAAAAGAAAGATTTAACTCTGTGATACAACTACACACATCATTAAGTAGTTTCTCAAAAGCTTCTTTCTAGTATTTATCTGAAGATATTTCCTTTTTCATCATAGGCCGCAATGTACTCCCAAATACCCCTTCGCAGATACTACCCAAACACAGTTTCCAAACTGCTGAATGAAAAGAAAGGTTTAACTCTGAGAGATGAATGCATACATGGCAAAGAGGTGTCTCAGATTGGTTTCTTCCAGTTTTTATCATGGGACGATCTCTTTTTCGCCTCTGGCCTCAATGACCTCCCAAATGTCCATTGGCAGAATGGACAAAAACAGTGTTTCCAAACTGCTAAATCCAAAGAATGGTTTTAATCTGTGAAAGCTTCTTTCTAGTTTTTATCTGAAGATATTTCCTTTTTCATCATAGGCCTCAAAGTGCTTCCAAATATCCCTTCGCATATTCTACAAAAACCATGTTCCAAACTACTGAATCCAAAGAAAGGTTTAATTTTGTGACTTTAATGCACACATCACAAAGCAGTTTTTCAGACAGCTTCTTTCTCATTTTCATCGGAAGATATTTCCTTTTTCACTACAAGCCTTAATGCACTCCCAAATGTCCCTTGGTAGATACTACCAAAACTGTGTTTCCAAACTGCTGAATGAAAAGAAAGTTTTAACTCTGCGAGTTGAATGCACACATCTCAAAGCAGTTTCTCAGAAAGCTTCTTTTGAGAATTTATCTGAAGATAATTCCTTTTTCAAAATAGGCTTCAGTGCACTCCCAAATATTCCTTAGCAGATTCTACCAAAACAGCGTTTCCACACTGCTGAAAGAAAAAAAGATTTAACTCTCTGAGATGAATGCACACATCTCAAAGTGGTTTCTGAGATAGATTTCTTCTAGTTTTTATCTTGCAATATTTGCTATCAAATATCACTTCACAGATTCTACAAAAAGTGTTTCCAAACTACTGAAAGCAAAGAAAGCTTTATCTCTATGAGATGAATGCACACATCACAGAGCAGTTTCTCAGAAAGCTTCTTTTTAGTATTTATCTACAGATATTTCCTTTTTCACCATAGGCTTCAATACACTCCCAGATATCACATTGCGTATTCTACTAAAACAGTGTTTCCAAACTGCTGAATGGACAGAAAGGTTTAACTCTCCTAAATGAAAGCACACATCACAAAGTGGTTTCTCAGTTAGCTTCCTTCTAGTTTTTATCCTAGGATATTCACTTTTTTGTCTTTGGCATCAGTGAGCTCCCAAATTCTACATAAACAGTGTTTCCATACTACTGTATTGAAAGAAGGTTTTATTCTGTGAGAGGAATACACACATCAAAAAGCAGAATCTCAGAAAGCTTCTATTCAGTATTTATCTGAAGATATTTCCTTTTTCACCATAGGCTTCAATACGCCCCCAAATATCCCTTCACGGATAGCACCCGAACAGAGTTTCCAAACTGCTAAATGAAAAGAAATGTTCAACTCTGTGAGATGAATACACATGTCACAAAGAGGTTTCTCAGATAGATTTCTTCTAGTTTTTATCCTAGGATGATTGCCTTTTCTCCTTTGGCCTCAATGACCTCCCAAATGTCCATTCTCATAATGTACAAAAGCAGTGTTTCTAAACTGCCAAATGCAAAGAAAGGTTGAACTCTGTGCAATGAATGCACACATCACAAAGCAGTTTCTCAGAAAGCTTCTTTCGCGTTTTTATTTGAAGATATTTCCTTTTTCACCATAGGCCTCTATGCACTCCAAAATATCTCTTCGTCGATTCTACCAAAACAGTATTTCCAAACTGCTGAATGAAAAGAAAGCTTTATCTCTGTGAGATGAATGAACACATTGCAAAGTAGTTTCTCAGAAACTTCCTTCTAGTTTTTATCCACGCATATTCCCTTTTTCACCTGAGGCCTCAATGAGCTCTGAATTATTGCTTCAAAGATTGTACAGAGAGTTTCCAAACTACTGAGTCTAAAGAAAGTTTCAATCTGTGAGATGAATGCACACAACACAAAGTATTTTCTCAGATAATTTCTTCCCTGTTTTCATCTGAAGATATTTCCCTTTTCCCCATATGCCACAACGTGTTCCAAAATGCCCTTTCACAGATACTACCAAAACACTGTGTCCTAAATGCTGAATGAAAAGAAAAGTTTGTCTCAGTGAGATGAATGCACACATTACAAAGCAGTTTCTCAGATAGCTTCCTTCTAGTTTTTATCCTGGGAAATTAATTTCTTAAACTACGGCCTCAATAACCATCAAAATGTCCATTCGCAGAATTGGAAAAACGATGCTTCCAAACTGCTGAATCCAAACGAAGGTTTAATTCTTTCAGATGAATGCACACATCACAAAGCAGTTTCTCAGAAAGCTTCCTTCTAGTTTTTATCAGAAGGTATTTCCTTTTTCACCATAGGCATCAAGGCATTCCCAAATACCCATTTGGAGATTTTATAAAAACCTTGTTTACAAACAGCTGAATCCACAGAAAGTTTTAACCCTGTGAGATGAACACACACATCAGAAAGCAGTTTCTGAGACAGATTCCTTCTAATTTTTATTCTGGGATACTTGCTCTTTCACCTTTGGTCCCAATGAGTTCCAAAACGGCCATTCACAGATTGGACAAAAATAAGGTTTCGAAACTGCTGAATCCAAAGAAAGGTCTAACTCTGTGAGATGAATGCACACATCACAAGTCAGTTTCTCAGAAAGTTTCTTTGTAGTTTTTATCTGAATATATTTCTTTTTTTACCATAGGCCTCAATGCACTCTGAAATATTCCTTCGTGGATTCTACAAAAACAGTGTTTCCAAACAGTTGCATGAAAAGAAAGTTTTAACTCTGTGAGATGGATGCAGACATCACAGAGCAGTTTCTCGGGTATCTTCCTCCCAGTTTTTTATTGTGAGATATTCGCTCTTTTGCCATTAGCCTCAAGGAACTCCCAAATGTCCATTCACAGAATGGACAAAAAAAGTGTTTCTAAACTACAAACTTCGAATCCAAAGAAAGTTTAAATTCTGTGAGATGAATGCACACATCACAAAGCAATTTCTCAGAAAGTTTCTTTCTAGTTTTATCTGAAGGTATTTACCTTTTCAACATAGGCCTCAAGGCCGTCCCAAATATACCTCCACAGATTCTACAAAAACAGTGTTTCCAAACTGCCAAATGAAAAGAAATATTTAACTCTGCTAGATGAAGGCAAATATCACAATTTTGTTTCTCAGATAACATCCATCTAGTTTTTATCCTGGGATATTTACTTTTCTGACTTTGGTCTCAATGAGTACACAGATACCCCTTCACAGATTCTACAACAACAGTGTTTCCACACTGCTGAATCCAAGAAAGTTTTAACTCTGTGAGATGAATGCAGACATCACAAGCACTTTGTCAGAAAGCTACTTTCTATTGTTTATCTGAATATATTTCCTTTTTTTCCATAGGCCTCGAAGTGCTCCCAAATATCCCTTCACAGTTTCTGCCAAAACAGTTTTTCCAAACTGCTAAATGAAAAAAAATGTTTAACTCTGTGAGATGAATTCACACATCACAAAGCGGTTTCTCAGACAGCTTCTGTCTACTTTTTAACCTGGGATATTCGTTTTTTACCCTTTGGCCTCAATGAGCTCACAAATGTCCATTCACAGAAGAGACAAAAACAGTGTTTCCAAACTGCTGAATACAAAGAAATGTTTAACTCTGTGAGATGAATGCACACATTATAAAGCAGTTTCTCAGAAAGCTTCTTTCTACTTTTTATCTGTAGATATTGCCTTTTTCACCGTAGGCCTCTATGCGCTCTGAAATATACCTTTGCAGATTGTACCAAAACAGTGTTTCCAAACTGCTGAATGAAAACAAAGATTTAAATCTGTTAGATGAGGGCACACATCACAAAGAAGTTTCTCAGATTACTTCCTTCTAGTTTTTATTCTGGGATATTCGGTCTTTTGCCATAGGCCTCAATGAGCTCCCAAACGTCTGTTTGCTGATTCTACAACAACAGTGTTTCCAAACTGCAAACTGCTGAATCCAAAGAACTGTTTGTCTCTGTGAGATGAATTCACGCATCACTAAGAAGTTTCTCAGAATGCTTCTTCCTGCTTTTTATCTGAAATTATTTCCTTTTTCACCATAGGCCTCAATGCAGTCCCAAATATCCCTTCACAGATTCTGCAAAAATAGTGTTTCCAAACTGCAGAAAGAAATAAAGAAATAAAGGTTTAACTCTGTGAGATGAATGCACACATCATGAAGCTGTTTCTCAAATAGCTTCCTTCTAGTTTTTTTCCTGAGATATTCCCTTTTTCACATTAAGTCTCAATTAGCTACCAAATATCCCTTTGCAGATTCTGCAACAACAGTGTTTCCAAACTGCTGAAGCCATAGAAAGGTTTTCTTCTGTGAGAGGAATGTGCACATCACAAAGCTGTTTCTCACAATCTTTCTTTCTAGTTTTTACCTGAATATATTTCCTTTTTCACCAAAGGCCTCAAAGTACTCCCAAATATCCATTTGCAGATTCTTCCAAAACAGTGTTTCTAAACTACTGAATCCCAAGAAACGTTTCTTAGAAATTTCTATCTAATTTTTGTCTGAGGATATTTACTTTTTTGACTTTGACATCAATGACCTCCCAAATATCCCTTCACAGATTCTACAAAAGCATTGTTTCCAAACTGCTGAATCCACATAAAGGCTTAACTGTGTGGGATGAATGCACACATCACAAAGCAATTTCTCAAAAAGCTTTTCTCTATTTTTTATCTGAACATATTTCCTTTTTTACCATATGCCTCAGTATGCTCCCAAAAAGTCCCTTCACAGAGTCTGTCAAAACAGTGTTTCCAGACTGTTGAATGAAAAGAAAACTTTAATCCTGAGAGATGAAAGCACACATCACAAAGTTGTTTCTCAGATAGCTTCCTTCTAGTTTTTATCCTGTGATATTTGCTTTTTTGCCATTGGCCTGAAAGAACTCCCAAATGTCCATTCTCAGAATGGACAAAAACAGTGTTTCCAAGCTACTGAATTTAAAGAATTGTTTAACTCTGTGTGATAAATGAGCACATCACAAAGTGGTTTCTCCAAAAGCTGTTTTCTCATTTTCATATGAAGATATTTCCTTTTTCACCGTAGGCCTCAATGCACTCCCAAATATCCCTTTGCAGATTTTACAAATACAGTGTTTCCAAACTGCTGAATAAAAAGAAATGTTTAACTCTGCAAGATGAATGTACACATCACAAAGCAGTTTCTCAGAAAACTTCCTTCTAGTTATTACCCACGGATATTCGCTTTTTCTTATATGGCCTCAATGAGCTTCCAAATAACCTTTCACAGACTCTACACAAATAGTGTTTCTAAACTGCTGGATCCAAAGAAAGCTTAACTCTGTGAAATGAATGCATGCATCAAAACGCAGTTTCTCAGAAAATTTCTTTCTTGCTTTCATCTGAAGGTATTTCCTTTATCACCATATGCTCCAATGTGCTCCCAAATTTCCCTTTGCAGATACTACCAAAATAGTGTATCCTAACTGCTGAATAAAAAGAAACGTTTAACTCTACGAGATGAATGCACAAGTCACAGAGCAGTTTCTCAGATAACTTCCTTCTAGTTTTTATCCTGGGATATTTGCTTTTTCGTCTATGGCCTCAATGAGCTGTCTAATATTCCTTCACAGATTCTACAAACACAGTGTTTCCAAACTGCTGAATCCAAAGAAAGGTATAATTATTTGTTATGAATGAATACATGACAAAGCAGTTTTTCAGAAAGCTTCTTTCTAGTTTTTACCTGAAGATATTTTCTTTTTCACCAGAGGCCTCAACGTGCACCCAAATATCCCTTTGCGTATTCTACAAAAACAGTGTTTTCAAATTGCTGAATGGAAAGTAAGGTTTAACTTGGCAACATGAATGTGCACATCACAAAGTGGTTTCTCAGGTAGCTTTCTTCTAGTATTTATCCTGGAATATTCGCTTTTTCACCTTTGGCCTCAATGACCTCCCAAAAGTCCGTTTGCAGAATGGACAAAAACTGTGTTTCCAAACTGTGCAATCCAAAGTAAGTTTTAACTCTTCAAGATGAATGCTGACATCACAAAGCCGTTTCACAGGTAGCTTCCTTCCAGTTTTTATCCTGGGATATTCACTCCTTTGCCATTAGCCTCAAGGAGCTCCCATATGTCCATTTGCAGAAAGGACAAAATCAGGGTCTCCAAACTGCAAACTGCAAACCCAAAAAAAGGTTTAACTCTGTGACATGAAAGCACACATCAGAAAGCAGTTTCTCAGAAAGCTTCTTTCTGGTTTTTATCTGAAGATATATCCTTTTCACCATAAGCCTCAAGGCAGTACCAAATATACCTTGACAGATTCTACAAAAACAGTGTTTAAAAACTGCTGAATGAAAAGAAATATTTAATTCTGCTAGATTAAAGCAAACAGCACAATTCTGTTTCTCAGATAGAATCCTTCTAGTTTTTATCCTGGAATATTTGCTTTTTTGAATTTGGCCTCAATGAGCACTCAAATATCCCTTTTCAGATTCTACAACAACAGTGTTTCCACACCACTGAATCTGAAGAAAGGTTTAACTCTTTGAGATAAATGGACATTTGGGAAATCGTTTTCTCAGATAGCTTCCTTCTTTTTTTTATCCTAGGATATTCACTTTTTCTCCTATGGCCACAATGGAGTTATCTAATATCCCTATGCAGATTCTACAAAAACAGTGTTTCCAAACTGCTGTATCCAAAGATAGGTTTAATTCTGTGGGATGAATGCACACATCACAAAGCGGTTTCTCAGAAAGATTCTTTCTAGTTTTTTTTCTGAAGATATTTCCTTTTTCAACATAGGCCTCAATGTGCTCCCTTCACAGATTCTACAAAATCAGTGATTCCAAAGTCTGAATACAAAGAAAGGTTAAACTCTGTGAGATGAATGCACACATCACAAACCAAGTTCTCAAAAAGCTTTTTTCTAGCTTTCATCTGAAGATATTTCCTCTTTCACCATAAACCTCAATGCCCTCTCAAATATCCCTTCGCAGATTCCACCAAAACAGTGTTTCCAAACTGCTGAATGAAAAGAAAGGTTTAATTCTGCGAGATGAATGTGCATATTGCAGGCAGTTTCTCAGACAGATTCCTTCTAGTTTTTATCCTGAGATACTCCCTTTTTCACCATTGGCCTCAATAAGCTCCCAAATGTCCATTTGCAGAATGGACAAAAATAGTGTTTCCAAACTGCAGAATTCAAGGAAAGGTTTAACTGTGTGAGGTGAATGCACACATCACAAAGCAGTTTGTCAGAAAGCTTCTTTCTACTTTTCATCTGAAGGTATTTCCTTTATCACCATAGGCGTGAATGCTCTGCCAAATGTCACTCCAAATATTCTACCAAAAGTGTTTCCAAACTGCTGAATGAAAAGAAAGGTTCAACTCTGCGAGGTGAATGTACACATCCAAGGCGGTTTCTCAGATAGCTTCCTTCTAATTTTTATCCTGGTATAATCGCTTTTTCCTTTATGGACTCAATGAGCTATCAAATATTCTTTTACAGATTCTACAAAAGCAGTGTTTCCAAACTACTGAATACAAAGAAAGGTCTGAGATGAATACACTTATCATAAAGAAGTTTTTCAGATAATTTCTTTCTAGTTTTCATCTTAAGATAATTTATTTTTCACCATAGGTCGCAATGCACTCTGAAATAGCCCTATGCAGACCCTACCAAAACAGGTTTCCAAACTGTTGAATGAAAAGAAATGTTTAACTCTGTGAGATGAATGCACATGTCACCAAGCACTTTCTCAGATCTTCTGTCTCTTTTTTATCTTGGGATATTCAGTTTTTAGCCTATGGCCTCAAAGAGCTATCAAATGTCCCTTTGCAGATTCTATAAAAACAGTGTTTCCAAAGAGATGAATCCAAAGAAATCCAAATGCACACATCACAAAGCAGTTTCTGAGAAAGCTTCCTTCTTGTTTTTATCTGAAGATATTTCCTTTTTCACCATAAGCCTCAATGCACTCCTAAATACCCCTTCACAGATTCTACAAAAACAGTGTTCCCAAACTTCTGAATGAAAAGAAAAGTTTATCTCTTCGAGATTAATGCACACATTACAAATCAATTTCTCTGGTAGATTCCTTCCAGTTTTTATCCTGATTTATTTGCTTTTTCACCATTGGCCTTACTGAGCTTCCAAATGTCCACTCTCAGAATGAACAAATACAGTGTTTCCAAACCGTTGAATCCACAGAAAGGTTTAATTCTGTGAGATGAATGCACACATCACAAAGCAGTTTTTAAGAATGCTTCTTTCTAGTTTTTAATCTAAAGATATTTCCTTTTTCACTGTAGGCCTCAGGCACTCCCAAATATCTCTTCACACATACTACAAAAAGAGGGTTTTCACAATACTGAATGAAAAGAAAGTTTTAATTCTGTGAGTTGAATGCACACATCACAAAGTGGTTTCTCAGATACCTTCCTTCGAGTTTTTATCTTGGGATATTTGCTTTTTCACCTATGGTCTCAATATGCTCCAAAATATTCCTCAGCAAATCCTGCTAAAACAGTATTTCCAAACTGCTGAAAGAAAAAGTGGTTTAACTCTGTGACATGAATGCACACATCACAAAGCGGTTTCTCAAGTAGCTTCCTTCTAGTTTTTAATCATGTGATATTTGGTTTTTTCATTTTGCCTCAATGAGCTCCAAAATGTCCATTCCCAGAAAGGACAAAAACACTGTCTCTAAACTACTGAATCCAAAGAAAAGTTTAACTCTGTGAGATGAATGCACACATCACAAAGCAGTTTCTCAGAAAGATTCTCTCTAGTTTTTATCTGAAGATATTTCCTTTTTCACCATAGGCCTCAAGACACTCCCAAATATCCCTTTACAGATTCTACAAAATAGTGTTTCCAGACTGCTGAATGAAAAGAAAGGTTTAACTGTAGATAAACGCACACATCACAAAGGGGTTTCTCAGTTAACGTTCTTCAAGTTATTAGGCAGAAGTATTCCTTTTTTCACCATTGGACTCAACAACCTCCCAAATGTCCATTCACAAAATGGACAAAAACGGTGTTTCCAAACTGCTGAATCCAAAGAAATATTTAACTCTGTGAGATGAATGCACACATCACAAAGCACTTTATCAAAAAGCTTCTTCCTTGTTTATAAACTGAAGGTATTTCCTTTTTCACCTCTGGTCTCAATGAGCTCCCAAATATTCCTTCACAGATCCTACTGAAACAGTTTTTCCAAAATGCTGAATGAAAAGAAAGTTTTAGCTGTGCGAGATAAGTGCACACATCACAAAGCAGTTTCTCAGATAGTTTCCTTCCAGTTTTTTCCTGAGATTTTTTTTTTCACCTTTGGCCTCAAAGAGCTATCAAATATTCCTTTGTGGACTCTGCAAAAACAGTGTTTCCAAACTGCTGAATCAAAAGTAATGCTTAACGCTGTGAGATGAATCACACATTACAAAGCAGTTTCTCAGAAAGCTCCTTTCTAGTTTTTATCTGAAGATGTTTCCCTTTTTAACATATGCCTCAATGCACTCTCAAATATCCCTTCAGAGATTCCACAAAAATAGTGTTTCCAAACTGCTGAATGAGAACAAAATTTTATATCAGCAACATTAAGGCACATATGACCAAGTGGTTTCTCAGATATCTTCCTTCGTGTTTTAATCTAGGGATATTCATTTTTTCACCTTTGGCCAAAATGGACTCCTAAATATCCCTTTGCAGATTCTACAAAAACAGTGTTTCCAAACTACTGAATCCAAAGAAAATTTTAACTCTGTGAGAAGAATGCACACATTACAAAGCAGATTTTCAGAAATCTTTTTCTAGATTTCATATGAAGGTATTTCCCTTATCACCAAATGCCTCAATGCACTCCCAAATATGCCTTCGTAGATTCTACCAAAACAGTGTTTCCAAACTGCTGATTTCAAAGAAAGGTTTAACTCTGCAAGATGAATGCCCACATCACAAAGAGTTTCCTCAAATAGCTTCCTTCTAGTTTTTATCCTGTGATATTCACTTTTTCCCATTAGGCCACAATGAGTTCCAAAATGTACATTCACAGAATGGACAAAACAGTCATTCCAAACTGCTGAATCTATAGATATATTTAACTCTGTGAGATGAATGCACACATAACAAAGCAGTTTCTCAGAAAGATTCTTGCTGGTTTTTATCTGAAGATATTTCCATTTTCATCAGAGACCTCAAAGAGCTCCCAAATTTCCCTTTACAGATTCTATTGAAAGAGAATTTCCAAACTGCTGAATGAAAATAAAGATTTTACTCTGTGAGAGGAATGCACATATAACAAAGAAGTTTCTCAGATAGCTTTCTTCTAGTTTTTATCCTGGGATATTTACTTTTTCATCATTGGCCTCAAAGAACTCAAATATCCATTCACAGAATGGACAACATTTTTTCCAAACTACTGATTGCAGAGAAAGTTTTAACTCTCTGAGCTGAATGCACACATCACAAAGCATTTTCTCAGGAAGCTTCTTTCTAGTTTTTGTCTTGAGATATTTCCTTTTTCACAATAGGCCTCAAAGCACTCCCAAAAATATCAATTTGCAGGATATTCAAAAACAGTGTTTCCAAACTCTTGAATTAAAGAAAAGTTTAAATGTGCCAGATGAATGCACACTTCACAAAGCTGTTTCTAAGAGAGCTTCCTTTTAGTTTTTATCCTGGGATATTCAGTTTTTTGCCTTTAGACTCAATGAGCTCCAAAATGCCCATTCGCAGAATGGACAAAAACTGTGTTTCCAAACTGCTGAATCTAAGGAAATGTTTAACACTTTGAGATGAATGTACACATCACAAAGAAATTTCACAGGTAGCTTCCTTCTAGATTTTATCCTCATGTGTTTTCTTTTTCAGATTTGCCAGATTCTACAAAACAGTGATTCCAAACTGATGAATCCAAAGAAAGGTTTAACTCTGTGAAATGAATGGACACATCACAAAGCAGTTTCTCAGAATGTTTCTTTCTAATTTTTAATCTGAAGATATTTTCTTTTTCAACATAGGCCTCAATGAGCTCCCAAATATCCCTTCATGGATTGTACCAAAACATTGTTTCAAAACTGCTGAAAGAAATGAAAGTTTTAACAGGGAGAGGTGAATACACACATCACAAATCAGTTTCTCAGATGGCTTCCTTCTTCTTTTATCCTGGGGTATTCACTTTTTTGCCATTGGCCTCAATGAGCTCTGAAATGCCCACTCGCAGAATGGACAAAAACTGTGTTTCCAAACTGCTGAGTCTAAAGAAATGCCTTAACACTTTGAGATGAATGTACACATCACAAAGAAATTTCACAGGTAGCTTCCTTCTAGATTTTATCCTCATGTGTTTTCTTTTTCAGATTTGCCAGATTCTACAAAACAGTGATTCCAAACTGATGAATCCAAAGAAAGGTTTAACTCTGTGAAATGAATGGACACATCACAAAGCAGTTTCTCAGAATGTTTCTTTCTAATTTTTAATCTGAAGATATTTTCTTTTTCAACATAGGCCTCAATGAGCTCCCAAATATCCCTTCATGGATTGTACCAAAACATTGTTTCAAAACTGCTGAAAGAAATGAAAGTTTTAACAGGGAGAGGTGAATACACACATCACAAATCAGTTTCTCAGATGGCTTCCTTCTTCTTTTATCCTGGGGTATTCACTTTTTTGCCATTGGCCTCAATGAGCTCTGAAATGCCCACTCGCAGAATGGACAAAAACTGTGTTTCCAAACTGCTGAGTCTAAAGAAATGCCTTAACACTTTGAGATGAATGTACACATAACAAAGAAGTTTCACAGATAGTTTCCTTCTAGATTTTATCCTCACATGTTTGCTTTCTCGGATTTGGCCTCAATGAGCTCCAAAATATCCCTTTACAGATTCTATGAAAAGAGTATTTCCAAACTGCTGAATCAAAGAAAGGTTTAACTCTGTGAGATGAATGAACACATCACATAGCAGTTTCTCAGAAAGCTTCTTTCTAGGTTTTGTCTTAAGGTATTTCTTTTTTGACCATAGGCCTCATAACCCTCCCAAATATCCCTTCACAGATTCTACCAAAAACAGAATTTACAAACTGCTGATGAAAAGAAAAGTTTAACTCTGCGAGATGAATGCACTCATCACAAAGTGATTTCTCAGATGACTTCCTTCTAGTTTTTATCCTGGGATAATCACTTTTTCTCAATTGGCCTCAATGAGGTTCCAAATATACATTCACAGAATGGACAAAAACAGTGTTCCTAAACTGCTGAATAAAAGAAAGGTTTAACTCTGTGAGATGAAGGCACACATCACAAAGCAGTTTCTCAGAAAGTTCTATCAAGTTTTTTTCTTAAGATATTTCCTTTTTCACCATTGGTCTCAGTGCGCTCGCAAATATCTCTATGCAGGGTCTACCAAAAGAGTGTTTCTAAACTGCTGAATGAAAAGAAAGGTATAACTGTGAAAGATGAAGGCACACATCAAAAACAGTTTCTCTGATAGCTTCCTTCTAGTTTTTATCCTGGGGTATTCGCTTTTTCACCATTGGCCTCAATAAGCACACAAATGTCTGTTCTCAGAATGGACTAAAACAGTGTTTCCAAACTGCTGAATCTAAAGAAAAGTTGAACTCTGTGAGATGAACGCATACATCACAAAACAGTTTCTCAGAAAATTTCTTTCTAGTTTTAATCTTTAGATATTGCCTTTTGCACCATAAGCCTCAATGCACTCCCAAATAACATTTTGCACATTCTACCAAAACTGTGTTTCCAAACTGTTGAAGGAAAATAAATGTTTATCTCTGCGAGGCAAATGCACACATCAGAAAGCAGTTACTCAGAGAGCTTCCTTCTAGTTTTTACCCTGGGATTTTCTTTTTATTGGCTTTGGCCTCAGTGAGCTCCCAAATACCCTTTCACAGATTCTACTAAAACAGTGCTTCCAAACAGATGAATCCAAAGAAAAGTTTAAATGTGTGAGAAGAATGAACACATCACAAAGCGATTTCTCAGATAGTTTTCATCTAGTTTTTGTCGTGGGATATTCACTTTTTTGCCATTGGCTTCAATGAACTTCCAAATGTCCATTTGCACAATGGACAAAAACAGTGTTTCCAAACTGATGAATCTAAAGAAAGGTTTAACTCTCTGAGATGAATGGACACATCACAAAGCACTTTCTCAGAAAGCTTGTTTCTAGTTTCGTCATAAGCCTGTTTCATCATAGGCCTCAATACGCTCCCAAATATCCCTTTGCCAATTCTTCAAAAACAGAGTTTCCAAATGGCTGAATGAAAAGAAAGGTTTAACTCTGTGAGATAAATGTGCACATCACAAAGGAGTTTCTCAGATAGCTTCCTTCTAGTTTTTATCCTGGGACATTTGCTTTTTCACCTTTGGCCTCAATGAGCTCACAAATCCCCCTTTGCATATTCCAGAAAAGTAGTGTTTCCAAACTGCTGAATGATAAGAAAGATTTAACTCTGTGAGATGAATGCACACATCTAAATTGGTTTCTTAAATAACTTCCTTCTGGTTTTTATAAAGCGATATTCATTTTTTTGCCATTGGCCTCATTGACTTCCAAAATGTCCATTCGCAGAATGGACAAAAACAGTGTTTCCAAACTGCTGCATCCAAAGAAATGTTTAACTCTGTGAGAGGAATGGATGCATCACAACGCAGTTTCTCAGAAAGCTTCTTTCTAGTTTTTATCTGAAGATATTTCCATTTTCACCATAGGCATCAATGTTCTCCCAAATATCCCCTCGCAGATTCTACCAAAAATGTATGTCCAAACTGCTGAATTAAAAGAAAGGTTTAAATCTGTGAGATGAATGCATACTTACCAAAGCAGTTTCTCTGATGGCTCCCTTCTAATTTTTATCTTTGGATATTCACTTTTTCACCTTTGGCCTCCCCAATATCCATTCACAGATTCTACAACAACAGTGTATCCAAACTGCTGAATCCAAAAACGGTTTATCTCTGTGAGATGAATGCCCTCATCACAAAGCAGTTTCTCAGAAAAATTCTTTCTGGTTTATGTCTGAAGTTATGTCCTTTTTCACCATAGGCCTCTATGCATTCCAAAATATCCCTTCATAGATTTTACCAAAACTTTGTTTCCAAACTGCTGAATGAAAAGAAACCTTTAAATCTGCTAGATGATTGCACACATCCCAAATGGGTTTCTCAGATAGCTCCCTTCTAGTTTTTATGCTGGAATATTCGCTTTTTTGCAATTGACCTCAATTGGCTCTGAAATATCCATTTGCAGAATGGACAAAACTGTGTTTCCAAACTGCTGTATCCAAAGAAAGGGTTAACTCTGTGAGTTGATTGCACAAATCTCAAAGCAGTTTCTTAGGAAGCTTCTTTCTAGTTTTTACCTGAAGCTATTTCTGTTTTCAACATAGGCCTCAGTGCTCTCCAAATATACCTTCACAAATTCTACCAAAACAGTGTTTCCAAACTGCTGCATGAAAAGAAACCTTAACTCTGTGAGTTGAATGTACACATCACAAATGGGTTTCTCAGATAGCTGCCTTCTAGTTTTTATCTTGGAATATTCACTTTTTCACCAATGATCTCAATGAGCTCCCAAATATCCATTCACAGAATGGAGAACACAGTGTTTCCAAACTGCTGAATCCAAAAAAAGTTTGAACACTGTGAGATGATTGCACACACCACAAAGCTGTTTCTCAGAAAGTTTCTTTCTAGTTTTTATCTGAAGCTATTTCCATTTTCAACATAGGCCTCAATGAGCTCCCAAATATCTCTTCACAGATTCCACCAAAACAGTGTTTACAAACTGCTGAGTGAAAGAAAGATTTCACTCTGCGAGGAGAATGCACACATCACAAAACGGTTTCTAAAATAGTTTCCTTCTAGTTATTATAAAGGTATATTCATTTTTTCTCCTATGGCATCAATTATCTATAAAATATCATGTGGTAGATTATTCAAAAACAGTGTTTCCAAGCTTCTGATTCCAAATAAATTTTTAACTCTGTACAATGAGTGTAGTCATCACATAGCAGTTTTCAGAAGGCTTCTTTCTAGTTTTTATCAGAAGTTATTTTCTCTTTCACCGTATGCCTCTATGTGATCCCACATATCCCTTTGCAGATTCTGCCAAAACAGTGTTTCCAAACTGCTGAATGAAAAAAAAGGTTTAACTTTGTAAGTTGAATGTACACATAACAAAGCGGTTTCTCAGATATCTTCCTTCCAGCTTTTGCCCTGGGATATTCCCTTTTTTGCCTTTAGCCTCAATGAGCTCCAAAATGTCCATTCACAGAATGGACAAAAACAGTGTTTGCAAACTATCGAATCTAAAGAAAAGTTTAATGCTGTGAGACGACTGCACACATCAAGAAACAGTTTCTCAGAAAGCTTCTTTCTATTTTTTATCTGAAGATATTTCCTTCTTCACCTTAGGCATCAATGCTGTTCCAAGCATCCCTTTGCAGATTTTTCAAACACAGTTTCCAAAACTGTTGAATGAAAAGAAAGTTTTACTTCTGTGAGGTGAATGCACACATCACAAAGTGGTTTCTCAGATAGCTTCCTTTCAGTTTTTATCCTGGGATATTCGCCTTTAGCCTTAATGAGCTCCCAAATATCCCTTCGCAGTTTCTGCAAAACTCTGTTTCCAAACTGCTGAATCCGAAGAAATGTTTAACAGAGTGAGATGAATGCACACATCATAAAAGCTGTTTCTCAGAAGATTTCTTTAGAGTTTTTATTAGAAAATGTTTCCATTTTCACCCTATGTTTCAATGAGTTCTCAAGTATCCCTTTTCAGAGTGTACCAAAACTGTGTTTCCAAACTGCTGAAAGAAAAGAATGGTTTAAATTTGCGATGAATGCACACATCACAAAGTGGTTTCTCAAATAGCTTCCTTCTAGTTTTTATCCAGTTATGTTCACTTTATCATCTTTGCCCTCAATGAGCTCCCCAATATCCCTTCACAGATTCTACAAAAACAGTGTTTCCAACCTGCAGAATCCAAGGAAAGTTATATCTCTGTGAGTTGAATGCACATATCACAAAGCAGTTTCTCAGACAACTTGCTTCTAGTTCTTATGTGAAGCTATTTCCTTCTTAATCATAGGCCTTAATGCACTTCCAAATAGCTCATCGCAGATTTTGCAAACACAGTGTTTCCAAACTGCTGAAGGAAAAGAAAGATTTAAATTTGCTAGATGAATGCACACATCACAAAGCGGTTTCTGAGATAGTTTCCTTCTAGTTTTTTTTCCTGAGATATTTGATTTTCTGCATTTGGCCTCAATAAGCTCCCTAATATCTCTTCACAGATTCTAAAAAAACAGAGTTTTGAAACTGCTTAATCCACAGAAAGGTTCAACTCAGTGAGATGAATGCACACCTCCAAAGCAGTTTCTCAGAATGATTCTTCTCAGTTTTTATCTCAACATATTTCATTTTTCACCATAGGCCTCAATGGGCTCCCAAATGTCCCATCACAGATTCTACCACAAGTGTGTTTTCAAACTGCTGAATTAAAAGAAAGGTTAACTCTGTGAGATGAATGCACACATCACAAAGTGGTTTGTCAGATAGCTTCCTTCTAGTTTTTCTCGTGGGATATTTCCATTTTTGCCTTTGGCCTCAATGAGCTCCAAAACGTCCATTCATAGAATGGACAAAAAGACTGTTTCCAGACTGCTGAAATCAAAGAAACGTTTAACTCTGTGACATGAACGCACACATTACAAAGCACTTTCTCAGAAAGTTTCTTTCCAGTTATTATCTGAAGATGTTTCCTATTTCACCATAGACCTCAACACGCTCCAAAATATCCCTTCATGGATTCTACCAAAACAGTGTTTCCAAGCTGCTGAATTAAAAGAATGATTTAACTCTGTGAGAAGAGTGCATACATCACAAAGCGGTTTCTCAGAGAGCTTCCTTCTAGTTTTTGTCCTAGGATGATCACTTTTTCTCCATTGTCCTCAATAAGCTCCCAAATGTCCATTCACAGAATGGACAAAACAACGTTTCCAAACTACTGAATCCAAAGAAAAGTTTAATTATGTGAGATGAATACAACCATCACAAAGCAGTTTCTCAGAAGACTTCTTTCTAGTTTTTATCTGAAGTTATTTCCTTTTTCACTATAGGCCACAATGAACTCCCTAATAATCCTTCACAGATTCTACAAAATCAGTGTTTCCAAACATGCTGAGAAAGGGAGGGTTTACTTCTGAGAGATAACTGCACACATCACAAAGTGGTTTCTTATATGCTTCCTTCTAGTTTTTATCCTGGATATTCACTTTTTCGCCTTTGGCCTCAATGAGTTCTGAAATATCCCTTCACAGATTCTACAAAAACATCATTTCCAATTTGCTGAAACCAAAGAAAAGTTTATCTCTGTGAGGTGAATTCACACATCACAATGCAGTTTCTCAGAAAGCTTCTTTCTAGTTTTCATCTGAAGATATTTTCTTTTTAACCACAGGCCTCAATGCACTCCCAAATATGCCTTCACAGATTTTACCAAAACAGTGTTTCCAAACTGCCAAATGAAAAGAAAGTTTTAACTCTCCAAGATTAATGTGCACATTGCAAAGTGGTTTATCAGATAGCTTCCTTGAAGTTTTTTCCTGGGATATTCGCTTTTTCACCATTGGCCTCAATGAGCTCCAAAATATCCCTTCGCTGATTCTACAAAAAGAGTGTTTACAAACTGCTGAGTCAAAAGAAAGTTTTAAGTCTGCAAGATGAATGCACACATCAGAAAGGGTTTCTCAGAACGCTTTTTTTTAGTTTTAATCTGAAGTTGTTTGCTTTTTCACCTTAGGCCTCAATGCACTCCCAAATATCCCTTTGCAGACACTGCAAAAACAGTTTCTCCCAACTGAGGACTGAAAAGGATGGTTTACCTCTGCGAGATGAATGCACACATCACAAAACGGTTTCTGATAGCTTCCTTCTACTTTTTATCCTGGTATATTTGCATTATTGCCTTTGGCCTCAGTGAGCTCCCAAATATCTGCTTTTGTCCATTCTGTGAATGGACATTTGGGAGCTCTTTGAGGCCAATGGTGAAAAAGCAAACATCCCAGCATAAAAACTAGAAAGTTCCTTTCTGAGAAACTGCTTTGTGATTTGAACATTCATCTCACAGAGTTAAAACTTTCTTTGGTGTCAGCAATTTAGAAACCCTGTTTTTGTAGAATGTACAAAGGGATGTTTGGGAGCTCATTGAGGACAAAGGCAATAAAGTGAATATCCCAGCATAAAAACTAGAAGGAAGCTATCTGAGAAACTGCTTTGTGATGTGCACATTCATATCGCAGAGTTAAACATTTTTCTTCCTTCAGAAGTTTGGAAACAGTGTTTTTGTAGGATCTGGGAAGGGATATTTGGGAAGGTATTGAGGCATATGGTGAAAAAGGAAATATATTCAGATAAATCCTTGAAAGAAGCTTTGTGAGAAACCATTTGTGATGTATCCATTCATCTTACAGAGTTAAAACTTTCTTAGGATTCAGCAGTTTGGAAAAACTATTTTGTCCATTCTGTGAATGGATATTTTGGAGCTCATTTAAGCCAATGTCAAAAAAATGAATAACCCTGGATAAAAAATAGAAGAAAGCAATTTGAGAAACTGCTTTGTGATCTGTGCATTCTTCTCGAAGTGTTAAACCTTTGTTTTCATTCAGCAATTTGGAAACACTCTTTCAGTGTAATCTGCGAAGGGATATTTGGGAGTGCATTGAGGCCTAAGGTGAAAAAGGAAATGTCTTCAGATAAATCTAGATAGAAGTTTTCTGAGAAGCTGCTTTGTTATGTGCGCATTCATCTCACAGAGTTAAACCTTTCTTTGGATTCAGCAGTTTGGAAAAACTGTTTTTGTAGAATCTGAGAAGGAGTATTTGGGAGCTCATTAGGTCTAAAGGCAAAAAAGCAAATATCCCAGGATAAAAACTAGAAGGAATCTATCTGAGAAACCACTTTGTAATATGTGCATTCATCTTGCAGAGTTGAACTTTTCTTTTCTTTCAGCAATTTGGAAACAATGTTTTGGTAGAATCTGTGAAGGGATATTTGGGAGTGCTTTGAGGCCTAAGGTAGAAAGGGAAATATATTCAGATTAAAAACTAGAAAGAAGCTTTCTGAGACTCTTCTTTCTGATGTGTTCAGTCAAGTCACAGAGTTCAGCCTTCTGTTGGATTCAGCAGTTTGGAACCACTGCTTTTGTCCATTCTGCAAATGGACATTTGGGAGCTAATTGTGGCCAATCATGGAAATGCAAATACCACAGGTAAAAATGAGAAGAAAGCTGTCTGAGAATCTGCTTTGTGATGTGTGATTTCATCTCTCAGAGTTAAACCTTTCTTTTCAATCAGGCATTTGAAACCACTGTTTTTGTCCATTCTGTGAATGGACATTTGGGAGCTCATTGTGGTCAATGGTCAAAATGTGAATATCCCAGGTAAAAACTAGAAGAAAGCTGTCTGAGAAACTGCTTTGTGATGTGTGCATCCATCTCACAGAGTTAAACATTTGTTTGCATTGAGCAGTTTGGAAACACTGTTTTTAAAGAAAGAGCGAAGGGATATTTGGGAGTCCATTGAGGCCAAAGGTGATAAAACAAATATCCCAGGATAAAAATTAGAAGGAAGCTATCCGAGAAATTGTTTTGTGATGTGAGCAGTCATCTCACAGAGGTAAATCATCCTTTTCAGTCAGCAGTTTGGAAGCACTTTTTTTGTAAAATCTGTGAAGGCATATTTGGGAGTGCATTTTGGCCTTTGGTGAAAAAGGAAATATCTTCAGATACAAACTAGAAAGAAGCTTTCTGAGAAACTGCTTTGTGATTTCTGCATTCATCTCACAGAATTAAACCTTTCTTTGTTATCAGCAGTTTGGAAACACTATTTTTGTAGAATCTGCGAAAGGATATTTGGGAGCTGATTGAGGCCAAAGGCGATGAAGTGAACATCCCATTATAAAAACTAGAAGGAAGTTATCTGATAAATTACTTTGTGACATGTGCATTCATCTTGAAGAGTTAAACTTTTATTTTTATTCAGCACTTTGGAAACCCTGTTTTTGACATTTCTGTAAATGGAAATTTGGGACCTTATTCAGGCCAATGGGGAAAAAGGGAACATCAAAGGATAAAAACTATAAGGAAGCTATCTGAGAAACCGCTTTATGATGTGGACATTCATCTCACAGAATTAAACCTTTGTTTTCATTCAGCAGTTGGGAAACACTGTTCTTGTAGAATCTTTGAAGGGATATTTGGGAATGCATTGAGGCCTATGGTGAAAGAACAAATATATTCAGATAAAAACTAGAAAGAAGCTTTCTGAGAAACTGCTTTGTGGTGTGTGCATTCATTTCACAGAGCTAAACCTTTCTTGGGATTTAGCAGTTTGTAAACACCATTTTTGTCCATTCTGCGAATGTATATTTGGGAACTCATTGAGACCAAAAGCAAAAAAGCAAATATCTCAGGATCGAAAGTAGAAGGAAGCTATCTGAGAAACTGCTTTGTTATGTATGCATTCATCTCACAGAGTTAAACTTCCTTTTTATTCACCAGTTTTGAAACACTGTTTTTGCAAATTCTGCAAATGGACATTTGAGAGCTCATTGAAGCCAATGGTGAAAAAGTGAATATACCAGGATAAAAACTAGAAGAAAAATATCCAAGTAACAACTCTGTGTGCATTCATCTCACAGAGTTAAACCATTCTTTAATTCAGCAGTGTGGAAACACAGTTTTGGTAGTATCTGCGAAGCGATATTTTGGAGCACATTGAGACGTATGGTGAAAAATGAAATATCTTCAGATGAAAACTAAAGAGAACCTTTCTGAGAAACTGGTTTGTGATGTGTGCTTTCATCTTGCAGAGTTAAACCATACTTTTCATTCAGCATTTTGGAATACCTCTTTTGGTAGAATTTGCGAATGGATATTTGGGAATGCATTGAGGCCTATGGTGAAAAAGGAAATATCTTCAGATAAAAAAAAAAAGAAAGTGGCTTTCTGAGAAACTGCTTTCTGATGTGTGCATTCATCTCAAATAGTTAAACTTTTCTTTGGTTTCAGTAGTTTGGAAACACTGTTTTTGCAGTATCTGTGAAGGAATATTTAATAGGTCCTGTAGGCCATAGGGGAAAAAGCAAATATCCCAGGATAAATACTAGAAGAAAGCTATCTGAGAAACCACCTTGTGATGTGTCCATTCATCTTGCAGAGTTAAATCTTTCTTTTCATTCAGCAGTTTGGAAACGCTGTTTTGATAGAATGTGTGAAGAGATATTTGGGAGCACATTTAGGTGTATGGTGAAAAAGGAAATATCTTCAGATGAAAACTTGAAAAAATCTTTCTGAGAAACTGCTTTGTGATGTGTGTATTCATCTCACAGAGTTAAACCTTTCTTTGGATTCTGCAGTTTGGAAACAGTGTTTCTCTGGAATCCTCAAATGGACTTTTGGGAGCGAATTAAAGCCAATGGTGAAAAAACAAATATCCCAGGAGAAAAACTACAAGGAAGTTATCTGTGGAACTGCTCTGTGATGTGCTCATTTATGTTGCAGTGTTAAATGTTTCTTTTGCTTCAGCAGTTTGGAAATGCTGTTTATGTAGAATCTTCAAAGGGATAGTTGGGAGTGCATTGAGACCTATGATGAAAAAGGAAATACATTCACATAAAAAGCAGAATGAAAGTATCTGATAAACTGCTTTTTGATGTGTGCATTCATCTCTCAGAGGTAACTCTTTCTTTGGATTCAGCAGCATGAAAACACTGTTTTTTTATAATATGCAAAGGGATATTAGGTAACTCATTGATGCCATAGGGAAAAAAGCCTATATCCTAGGATTAAAAACAAGAAAGAAGCTCTCTGAGAAACAGCCTTGTGATGTGTACATTCACCCTGCAGAGTCTCTTTTCATTCAGTAGTTTGGAAACACTGTTTTGGAAGATCCTTGCAGGGATATTTGGGAGTGCATTCAGGCCTATGGTGAAAAAGGAAACATCTTCAAATGAAAGCCACAAAGAAGCATTCTGAGAAACTGCTTTGTGATGTGTTCTTTCATTTCACAGAGTTAAATCTTTATTTGGATTCAGTAGTTTGGAAACACTGTTTTTGTCCATTCTGCCAATGGACATTTGGGAGTTCATTGAGACAAATGGTGAAAAAGTGAATATCCCGGGAAAAAAACTAGAAGGAAGCTCTCTGACAAAACGCATTCTGATGTGTGCATTCATCTGGTATATTTAAACTTTTCTTTTCTTTCAGCAATTTGGAAACAGTGTTTTGGTAGAAAGTCCAAAGGGATATTTGGGAGTGCATTGAGGCCTACAGTGAAGAATGAAATATCCTCAAATAAAAACTAGAAAGAAGCTTTCTGAGAAACTGCTTTGTGATGCGTGCATTCACCCAGCAAAGTTAAACTTTTCTTGGATGCAGCAGTTTGGTAACTCTGTTTTTGTAGAATTTGTGAAGTGATATAGGATAGCTCATTTAGGGCATAGCCAAAAAAGTGAATAACCCAGGAGAAATACTAGAAGGTAGCTGTCATAGAAACCACTGTGTGATGTGTTCATTCGTCTCACAGTGATAAACCTTTCTTTTTCATTCAGCAGTTTGGACACACTGTTTCAGTAAAATCTGTGAAGTTATATTTGGGAGCACATTGAAGCCAATGGTGAAAAAAGAAATATCTTCAGATAAAAACTAGGTAGAAGCTTTTTGGGAAACTGTTTTGTGATGTGTGCATTTGTCTCACATAGTTAAGCCTTTCTTTGGATTCAGAAGTTTGGAAACACTCTTTTTTTGGAATCTAAGAAGGGACATTTGATAAATCATTGAGGCAATAAGGGAAAAAGCAAATATCAGGATAAAAACTAGAAGTAAACAACTGAGAAACCACATTTTGATGTATGCATTCAACTCACAGAGTTAAACTTTTCTTTTCAATCAGCAGTTTTGAAACACTGTTTTTGTAGGATGTGCATAGGTATATTTGTGAGAGCATTGAAGCCTATGGTAAAAATGAAAATATGTTCAGATAAAAACTAGAAAGAAGCTTTCTGAGAAACTTCTTTGTGATGTGTGCATTCACCCAGCAAAGTTAAACTTTTCTTTGAATTCAGTAGCTTTGTAACTCTGTTTTTGTCAATTCTGTGAATGGATATCTGGGAGCTCATTGAGGCCAATGGTGAAAAAGCAAATATTCCAGGATAAAAAATAAAAATATAGCTATCTGAGGAACGTCTTCGTGATTTCAGCATTCATCTCACAGTCTTAAAACTTTCTTTTCATTAAGCAGTTTGGAAACACTGTTTGGGTAGGATCTGCGAAGGGATATTTGGGAGCACATTGAGGCCTATGCTGAAAAAGGGAATATCTTCAGGTAAATACTGGAAAGAAACTTTCTGATAAACTGCTTTGTGAAGTGTTCATTCATTACACAGAATAAAACCTTTTTTTTTATTCAGCAGGTTGGAAACACTGTTTTTGTAGAATCTACAAGGGAAATTTTATAGCTAATTGAGGACATAGACTAAAAAGAGCATATCATAGGGTGAAAACTAGAAGGAAGATATCTGAAACACAGCTTTGTGATGTGTGTGTTCAGATCACAGAGTAAAACTTTTCTATTCATTCAGCAGTTTGGAAACACTGTTTTGGAAGTTTCTGCGAAAGGATATTATGGAGCACGTTGAGGCCTAGGGTGATAAGGAAATATCTTCAGATTAAAATTCGAAAGAAGCTTTCTGAGAAACTACTTTGCGATGTCTGCATCCATCTCATGGAGTTAAACCTTTCTTTTCATTCAGCAGTTTGGAAACACTGTTTTTTTTCCATTCTGTGAATGCACACTTGGAAGCTAATGAGACCAATGGCCAAAAAGGGAATATCCCAGAATAAAAAGTAGAAAGAAGCAAATTGAGTAACTGATTCGTGATGTGTACATTCATCTCACAGAGTGAAACCTTTCCTTTCATTCAGCAATTTGGAAACACTGTTTTGGTAGGATGTGCGTAGGTATATTTGTGAGTGTATTGAGGCCTATGGTGAAAAAGTTAAAGTTTTGTTTTCATTCTGCAGTGTGGAAACACTGTGTTCATAGAATCTGCACAGGGATGTCTTGGAGCACACTGAGGCCTATGGTGAAAAATGAAATACTTTCAGATAAAAACTAGAAAGAAGCTTTCTGAGAAACTGCTTTGTGATGGGTGCATTCATCTTACATTGCTAAAACTTTCTTTGGATTCAGCAGTTTGTAAACACTGCTTTTGTCCATTCTGCAAAAGGACATTCAGAATCTCATTGAGGCCAAAGGACAAAAAGTTAATAGCCCAGGATAAAAACTAGAAGAAAGCTATCTGAGAAATGGCTTTGTGATGTGTGCATTCATCCTGCAAAGTTAAACCTTTCTTTTCATTCAGCAGTTGGGAACCACTATTTTGGTAGAATTTGTGAAGGGATATTTGGGGGTGCATTTAGGCCTATAGAGAAAAAGGAAATATCTTCAGATAAAAAATACAAAATATTTCTGAGAAACAAGTTTGTGATGTGTGCATTCATCTCACAGAGTTAAAACTTTCTGTGGATTCAAACAGTTTGCAAACACTCTTTTTGTAGAATCTGCAAATGGACATTTGGGAGCTCATTTACGCCAATGGCAAGAAAAGGAAAGATCCCAGGATAAAAACTATAAGGAAGCTCTTTGAGAAACTGCGTTGTGATGTGTGCATTCATCTCACAGAATTAAACCTTTCTTTTCTTTCAACAGTGTCAAAACACTGTTTTCATAGAATATGGGAATGGATATCTGGGAGTGCATAGAGGTCTATGGTTAAAAAGGGAAAACTTTCTTTTTATTCTACAGTGTGGAAGCTCTGTTTATGTAGAATCTGTGCAGGGATATCTCAGAGTGCATTGAGGCCTAAGGTGAAAAAGGAAATATCTTCAGATAAAAACTAGAAAGAAGTTTTCTGAGAAACTGCTTTGAGATGTATGCATTCATCTCACAGTGTTAAACCTTTCTTTTCATTCAGCAGTTTGGAAACACTGTTTTAGTAGAACCGGCAACAGGATATTTTGGAGCACATTGAGGAATATGTTAAAAAAGGAAATATCTTCAGGTAGAAACTAGAAAGAAATTTTCAGAGAAACTGCTTTGTGATGTGTGCATATATCTCACAGAGAGACACCTTTCTTTTATTCAGCAGTCTGGAAACACTGTTTTGGCAGAATCTGTGAAGTGATATTTGGGTGTGCATTGAGGCCTACAGTGAAAAAGGAAATATCTTCAGATAAAAACTAGAAGGAAGATTTCTGGGAAATTGCTTTGTGATGTGTGCATTATTCACACTGATTTAAACCTGTCTTTGGATTCCACAGTTTGGAAACCCTGTTTTGGTAGTATCCGTGAACTGATATTTGTGAGAGCATTGAGGCCTATGGTGAAAAAGTTAAATATTGCTTTTCATTCAGTGGTTTGGAAACAGTTTTTGTCCATTCTGCAAATGGACAATTGTGAGCTCACTGAGGCCAAAGGCAACAAAGTGAATACCCCAGGAGAAAACTAGAGGCAAGCTATCTGAGAAACCCTTTTGTGAAATGTGCATTCATCTCGCAGAGTTAAACCTTCCTGTTCATTCAGCCATCTAGAAACACTGTTTCAGTAGAATATGAGAAGGGATATTTAGGAGCGCATTGAGGCCTATGGTGAAAAAGGAAATATCCTCAGATAAAAACTAGAAAGAAGCGTTCTGAGAAACTGCTTTGTGGTGTGTGCATTCTACTCACAGGGTTAAACTTTTCTTTGGATTCAGTACTTTTGAAACACTCTGTTGTTCATTTTGTAAATGGACAATTTGTCACTAATTTAGATCAATGACAAAAAAGGGAATATTCCAGAATAAAAACTAGAAGGAAGCTCTTTGAGAAACCACTTTGTGATGTGTGCATTCATCTCTCAGAGTTAAACTTTCTTTACATTCAGCAGTTTTGAAACACTGTTTTTGTAGAATCTGCAACGTTATATTTGGGAGCAAATTCAGGCCAATGGTGAAAAAGGAAATACTTTCAGATAAAAATCAGAAAGAAGCTTTCTGAGAAACTGTTTTGTGATATGTGCATTCACCTCACAGAACGAAACATTTCTTTGGCTTCAGCAGTTTGGAAACTGTTTTTCTCCATTCTCCGGATGGAAATTTAGGAGTTCATTGAGATCATTGGTGAAAAACGAACATCCCAGGATAAAAACAGAAACAATCTGAAAAATCGCTTTGTGATGTGTGCATTCACCTGTCAGAGTTAAACTTTTCTTTTCATTCAGCAGTCTGGAAACACTGTTTTGACAGAATCCACAAAGAGAAATTTGGGAGCACATTGAGGCCTATGGTGAAAAATGAAATATATTCAGATTAAAACTAGAAAGAAGCTTTCTGAGAAACTGATTTGTGATAGGTGCAATGATCTCACAGAGTTAAACCTTTCTTTGGGTTCAGCAGTTTGGAAACACTGTTGTTGGAGAATCTGAGAAACTTCATAATGATGTGTGCATTCATCTCACAGAGCTACACCTTTCTTGGGATTCAGCAATTTGGAAACACTGTTTTTATCCTGGCTGCGAAAGGCGCATTCATCTCTCTGAGTTAAACCTTCCTTTTCTTTCAGCAGTATTAAACATTATTTTTGTAGAGACTGTGAAGTTGTATTTCAGAGAGCTTTGAGGCCTATGGTGAATAAGGAAATATCTTCAGATAAAAACCAGGAATCACCTTTCTAAGAAACTGCTCAGTGATGTGTGCATTCATCTCACAATGTTAAACTATTCTGTGGATTCAGCAGTTTGCAAACACTGTTTTTGTCCATTCTGTGAATGGACATTTGGTAGCTCTTTGATGCCAATGGTGAAAAAGCATCTATCTAGGGATAAAAACTAGAAGGAATCTATTGGAGAAACCACTTGATGATGTGTGCATTCACCTCACAGAGATAGAAATTTCTTTCCATTCAGCTATCTGGAAACAGTGTTTAGATAGAATCTGTGAATTGCATTGAGTCTTATGGTGAAAAAGGGATTACCTTCAGATAAAAGCTAGAAAGAAGCCTTATGAGAAACTACTTTGTGATGTGTTCATTCATCTCACAGAGTTATACCTTCCATTGGATTCAGCAGTTTGGAAACACTGTTTTTGTCCATTCTATGAATGGACATTTGGGAGCTCATTGGGGCCAATGGTGAAGAAAGGAATATCCCAGTCTAAAACCTAGAAGGAAGCTATCTGAGAAACTGCTTTGTGATGTATGCATTCATCTAACAGAGTTAAACCTTTCTTTCAATTCAGTGATCTGGAAACACTGTTTTCATAGAATCCGTGAAGGGATATTTGGGAGCTCTTTGAGGCCTATGGTGAAAAAGGAAATATCTTCAGACATAAACTAGAAAGAAACTTTCTGAGAAACCGCTTTGTGATGTCTGCATTCATCTCACAGAATTAAAGTTTTCTGGGGATTCAGCAGTTGGCAAACACTGTTTTTGTCCATTCTCCAGTTGGACATTTGGGAGCACATTATGGCCAAAGGCGATAAAGTGAATATCCCATGATAAAAACTAGAAAGAAGCTACCTGAGAAACTGCTTTGTGATGTGTGCATTTACCTTGGATAGTTAAACCTTTACTTTCATTCAGCTGTCTGGAAACATAGTTTTGGCAGAATCTGCAAAGGAATATTTGGGAGCACATTAAGGCACATGGTGGAAAAGGAAATATCTTCAGATAAAAACTAGAAAGAAGCTTTCAGAGAAACTGCTTTGTGATGTGTGCCTTCAGTTCCTAGAGTTAAAACTTTCTATGGATTCTGCAGTTTGGAAACACTATTGTTGTAAAATCTGTGAAAGTAGACTTGGGAGGTCATTGAGGCCAAAGGCTAAAAACTGAATATCACAAGAAAAAAAATTGAAGGAAGCTGTCTGAGAAAACTCTTTCTGAAATCTGCATTTATTTTGAAGAATTATTTTTTTTTCATTCAGTAGTTTGGAAATACTGTTTTGGGAGAATCTGCGATGGGATATTTCACAGGCCACTGAAGCCTATGGTGAAAAAGGAAATATCATCAGATAAAAACTGGAAATAAACTGTCTGAGAAACTGCTTTATGATGTGTGCATTCATCTCACAGAGTTAAAACTTTCTTTGGATTCAGCAGTTTTTAAACACTGTTTTTTTCCATTCTATGAATAGACATTTGGGAGCTCTTTGAGGACAAAGATGATAAATCGAATATCCAGGGTAAAATCTACAAGAAAACTATCTGAGAAACCATTTTATGATGTGTCCATTCATCTCGCAGATTTAAACAATTCTTTTCTTTCAGCAGTTTGGGAACTCTGTTTTAGTAGAGTCTGTGAATTGATATCTGGGAGCACATTGGGGCCTATGGTGAAAAAGGAAATATCTTCAGATAAAAACTAGAAAGAAGATTTGTGAGAAACTGTTTTATGATGTGTGCGTTTATCTCACAGAGTCAAACCTTTCTTTGGATTCAACAGTTTGGAAACACTGTTGTTGTAGACACTGTGAAGGGATATTTGGATGCTGATTGAGGCCAAAGATGAAAAAGTGAACTTCCCAGGAAAAAAACTAAAAGGAAGCTATCTGAGAAACCGCTCTCTGATGTGTTCATTCATCTCACAAATTTAAACCTTTCTGTGGGTTCAGCAGTTTGCAAATACTGTTTTTTTTGCATTCTGCAAATGGATATTTGGGAGCTCATTGAGGCCAAATGTGAAAAATGAGTATTCCAGATTACAAACTGGAAGGAGGCTATCTGAGATGCAGCTTTGTGATGTGTGCATTCACCTTGCAGAGTTAAACCTTTCTTTTCATGCAGCAGTCTGGAAACACTGCTTTGGCAGAATCCACGAAAGGATATGTGGAAGCACATTGAGTCTTATGGTGAAAAAGGGATAACCTTCAGATAAAAACTAGAAAGAAGCTTTCTGAGAAACTTTTTTGTGATAGGTGCCATCGTCTTACAGAGTTAAAACTTTCTTTCAATTCAGCAGTTTGTAGACACTGTTTTTGTCTATTCCATGAATGGATATTTGGTAGTTATTTGAGGTCAATGGCAAAAAAGGGAATATCCCAAGATTAAAAATAGAAGGAAGCTATTTTAGAAACCCCTTTGCAATGACTTTATTCATCTTGGAGATTTAAACCATTCTTCTTTTTCAGAAGTTTGGAAACATTATTTTAGTAGCATCTGTTAAGGGATATTTTGGAGCATGTTGAGGCCTACGGTGAAAAAAGAAATATCTTCAGATAAAAACTGGAAGGAAGCTTTCTGAGAAACTGCTTTGTGATGTGTGCATTCTTCTAACAGATTTACACATTTCAGTGGATTCAGCAGTTTGGAAACCCTTTTTTGGTACAATCTGTGAAGGGATATTTGGGAGCTCATGGAAGGCAAAGGCAAAAAAAGTGAATATCTCAGGAAAAATCTAGAAGGAAGCTATCTGAGAAACAGCTTTGTGATATGTTCATTCATCTCTCACAGTTAAACCTTTCTGTGGATTCAGCAGTTTGAAAACCCTGTTTATTTGCATTCTGCAAATGCACTTTGGGAGCTCATTGAGGCCAATGGCGAAAAAGCAAAAAACCCAAGATAAAAACTAGAAAAAAGCAATTTGAGAAATCACTTTGTGATACGTGCATTCATCCCACAGAGTTAAACTTTCTTTTCATTCAGCAGTGTGCAAACACTATTTTTATAGAATCTGTGAAGGGATATCTTGAAGCAACTGAGGCAAAAGTGAAAAAGCACATATCTTCAGATAAAAACTAGAAAGAAGCTTTCTGAGAAACTGCTGTGTGATGTGTGCAATTATCTCACAGAGTTAAACATTTCTCGTGATTCAGCAGTTAGGAAAATCTGTTATTGCAGGATCTGTGGAGGGATATTTGGGAGCTCAGTGATGCCAAAGGTGAAAAAGCAAATATCCCAGGAAATAAGAATAAAGCTATCTGAGAAAAAGTTTTGTGATTTGTGCATTCATCTCTCAGAATTATACCTTTCTTTTCATTCAGCAGTTTGGAAACACTGTTTTTTAGAATCTGCGAAGTTATATTAGAGAGTGCATTGAGGCCTTGAGGCCTATGGTGAAAAAATAAATATCTTCAGATACAAAATAGAAAATAGCTTTCTGAGAAGCCTCTTTATGATGTGTGCATTCGCCTCGCAGAGTTAAACCTTTCTCGGATTCAGCAGTTTGGAAATATTGTTTTTGTTCATCCTGTGAAAAGACATTTGGGAGCTCATTCTGGCCAAAGGTGAAAAAGTGAATATCTCAGGATAAAAACTAGAAGGAAGCTATCTGAGAAACCACTTTTTGATGTGGGCACTCACCTCACAGATTTAAACCTTTCTTTTCATTCAGCATTCTGGATACACGGTTTTGACAGAATCCATGAAGGGATATTTTAGAGAACATAAACGCCTATAGTGAAAAAGGAAATATCTTCAGATAAAAACTAGAAGGAAACTTCTTGATAAATAGCTTTGTGATGTGTGCATTCATCTCACAGAGTTAAACCTTTGTGTGGATTCAACAGGTTGCAAATCCTGTTTTTCTCCATTCTGCGAATGGACATTTTTGAGCTCTTTGAGGCCTAAGGTGAAAAAGAGAATTTTCCAGGATAAAAACTAGATGGAAGCTATTTGTGAAACCGATTTGTGATGTGTGCATTCATCTCACAGAGTTAAACATTTCTTTTCATTCCACAGTTTGGAAACACGTTTTAGTAGAATCTGTGAAGCAATATTCACGAGAACATTGAGGCCAAATGCAAAAAAAGAATATCCCTGGAAAAAAAAACTATAAGGAAGCTATCTTAAAAAGTGATATGTGATGTGTGCATTCAGCTGTCAGAGTTAAAACTTTCCTTTCATTCAGCAGTTTAGGAAAACTGTTTTTGTAGAATCTGCAAAATTATATTTAGGGTGCATTGAGGCCTAAGGTGAAAAAGGAAATATCTTCAGAAAAAACTAGGCAGAAACTTTCTGAGAAGCTGCGTGGCGATTTGTGCATTCATCTCACACAGCTAAACTTTTCTTTTGATTAAGCATTTCGGAAAATCTGTTTTTGTTCATTTTGCGAATGGACATTTTGGAGGTCATTGAGACTATTGAAGAAAAAGTGAATATCCCAGGATAAAAACTAGAAGGAAGCAATCTGAGAAATAGCTTTGTGATGTATGCATTCACCTCACAGATTTAAACGTTGCTTTTCATTCAGTACTCTAGAAATACTATTTTCTCACAATCCACAAAGAGAAATGTGGGAGCACATTGAGGCTTAGGGTGATAAATGAGATATCTTCAGATAAAAACTAGAAAGAAACTTTCTTAGAAACTGCTTTGTGATGTGTGCATTCATCTCACAGCGTGTGTATTCAGCAGTTTACAAACACTATTTTTGTCCATTCTGCAAAGGGACACTTGGGATCTCATTGAGGCCAATGGTGAAAAAGTGAATATTCCAGGATGAAAACTACAGTGAAGCTATATGAGAAACTGCTTTGTGATGGGTGTATTCACCTTTCAGAGTTAAACGCTTCTGTTCATTCAGCAGTCTGGAAACACTGTATTTGCAGACTCTGTGAAGGGATATTTGGAAGTGCATCGAGGTTTATGGTGAAAAAGGAAATA
The DNA here is from genome assembly GCF_000001405.40 of Homo sapiens. NCBI lineage: Eukaryota > Metazoa > Chordata > Mammalia > Primates > Hominidae > Homo > Homo sapiens. Next base: position 50,568,360 of record NC_000011.10, on the reverse strand, counting down.
TGTTCAGATAAAAACTAGAAAGAAGCATACTGAGAAACTCCTTTGTGATGTGTGCATTCATCTCACATAGTTACACTTTCTTGGTATTCAACACTTTGGAAACACTGTTGTAGAATCCACGAAGGTAAATTTGGGAGCTCTTTGAGGCCAAAGTTGAAAAATTGAATACCCTAGGATAAAAACTAGAAGGATGCTATCTGAGAAACTGCTTTGTGATGTGTGCATTCATCTCTCAGAGTTAAACCTTTCTTTACATTCAGCAGTTTTAAACACTGTTTTCGTAGAAAGTGCAAAGTTCTATTTTGTGCTCATTGAGGCCTATGGTGAAAAAGGAAATATATTCAGATAAAAACTACAAAAAACTTTCTAAGAAACTGCTTTGTGGTGTGTGCATTCATCTCACAGAGTTATATATTTCTTTTTCCATTCTGCAAATGGATATTTGGGAGATCTTTGTGGTGAATTGTGAAAAAATGAATATCCCAATATAAAAACTAGATGCAAGCTATAGGAGAATCTGCTTTGGAATGTGCACATTCATCTCACAGAGTTAAACCTTTCTTTTCATTCAGCAGTTTATAAACACAGCTTTTGTAGAATCTATGTAGGGAAATCTGGGAGTGCATTGATGCCCATGGTGAAAAAGGAAATATCTACAGATAAAAACTAGAAAGAAGCTTTCTGAGAAACTGCTTTGTGATGTGTGCATTCATCTCACAGAATTAAAACTTTCTGTTGATTCAGCAGTTTGCAAACACTGTTTTTGTCCATTCTGCGACTGGACATTTGGGAGCTTATTGAGGCCAGTGGTGAAAAAGGAAATATCCCAAGGAAAAACTGCAAGGAAACTATCTGATTAACAACTTTGTGATGTGTGCATTCACCTCACAGAGATAAAGCTTTCTTTTCATTCAAGAGTATGGAAACACTCTTTTGGCAGAAAACACGAAGGTATATTGGGAGCTCATTGAGGCCAACAGTGAAAAAGGAAATATCTTCAGATAAAATAAGAAAGAAGTGTTCTGAGAAACTGCTTTGTGATGTATGCATTCATCTCACAGAGGTAAACCATTCTTTCGATTCAGCAGTTTGCAAACCCTGTTTTTATTCATTCTGGGAATGGACATTTGGGAGCTCTTTGAAGCCAATGACATAAAAAGGAATATCCCAGGATAATTACTAGAAGGAAACTCTTTCAGAAACCACTTTTCAATGTGTGTATTCATCTCACAGAGTTAAAACTTTCTTTTCATTCAGGAGTTTGGAAACAGTGTTTTCCTTGAATCTGCAAAATGATATCTGGGAGGACATGGTGGCCTATGGTGAAAAAGGAAATCTATTCAGAAAAAACCTAGAAGGAAGCTTTCTGAGAAACTTCTTGGTGATGTGTGCACTCATCTCACAGAGTTAAACCTTTTTTTGGATTCAGCAGTTTGCAATCATTGTTTCTGTCCATTCTGCAATTGGACATTTAAGAGAACATTGAGGTCAATGCTGAAAAAGCAAATACCCTAGGATAAAAAATTGAAAGAAGGAATCTCAGAAACTCCTTTGGGATGTGTGCAATCACCTTGCAGAGTCATAACTTTCTTGTCATATGACAGTATGGAAATACTGTTTTTGCAGAATCCATGAAGGGATATTTGGGAACAATGGTGAAAAAGGAAATACCTTCAGATAAAAACTAGAAAGAATCTTTCTGAGGACCTGCTTTGTGATATGTGCACTCATCTCACAAAGTTAAATCTTTCTTTGGATTCAGCAGTTTGGAAACACTATTGTGTAGAATCTGCACACGGATATTTAGAAGTTTTTGAGGCCAAAGTTGAAAAAGCAATTATCCCAGGATAAAATCTAGGAGGAAGCAATCTGAGAAACAGATTTGTGGTGTTTGCATTCATCTCACAGATTTAAATCTTTCTTTTCATTCTCCAGCTTGGAAACATTGTTTTCATAGAATCTGTGAAGGGATGTCTGTGAGTACATTGTGGCCTATGGTGAAAAAGAAAATATCTTCAGATAAACACTATAAAGAAGCTTCCTGAGAAGCTGCTTTGTGATGTGTCCATTCATCTCACAGAGTTAATCCTTTCTTTGGATTCAGCAGTTTGGAAACACCATTGTTGCAGATGTTGCAAAGGGATATTTCAGAGCCTGATAAGGCCAACGTTGAGAAATCAAATGTCCCAGGATAAAAACTACAAGGAAGCTATCTGAGAAGCTGCTTTGTGATTGGTGCATTCATCTCTCAGAGTTAAACCTTTCTTTTCACTCAGCAATTTGTTGGGAGTGCACTGAGACCTATGGTGAAAAAGAAAATATCTTCAAATAAAAACTAGAAAGAAGCTTTCTGAGAAATTGATTTGTGATGTGCGCATTCACCTAACACAGATAAACGCTTCTGTGGATGCAGCAGTTTGGAAACACTGTTTTTTCCCATTCAGCGAATAAACATTTTGGAATTCATTGATGTCATTGGTGAAAAAGTGAATATCCCATTATAAATACTGGGAAGAAGCTATATGAGAAACTGCTTTGTGATGTGTGCATTCACCTCACTGAGTTAAATCTTTCTGTTTTACAGCAGTCTGGAAACACTGTTTTGGCAGAATCCACCAAGGGATATTTGGGAGTGCAATGAGACCTATGGACAAAAAGGAAATAACTTCAAATAAGTAGAAAGAAGCTTTCTGAGAAACTGCTTTGTGATGTGTGCATTCATCTCACAGTGTTAAAAATTTCTTTGAATTCAGCAGTTTGGAAACACTGTATTTGTAGAATCTTCGAAGGGATATTTGGGAGCTCATTGAGGCCAATGTCAAAAAAGTGAATATCCCATGATAAAAGCTAGAAGGAAGTTATTTGAGAAACTGCTTTGTGTTGTGCACATTCATCCCAAAGATTTAAAAATTTATTTTAATTCAGCAGTTTGAAACACCTTTCTCGCATAATCTGCTAAGGGATATCTTGGAGTGCATTGAGGACTATGGTGAAAAACGAAATATCTGCTCATGAAAACTAGAAAGAAGCTTTCTGAGAAGCTGCTTTGTGGTGTCTGCATTCACCTGACAGAGTTAATCCTTTATGTGGGTTAAGGAGTTTGTAAACACTGTTTTTGTCCATTCTGCAAATGGACATTTGGGAGCTCTTTGAGGCCAATGGCAAAAAATCCAATATCCCGGGAAAAAAACTAGAAGGGAGCTGTCTGAGAAAGCACTTTGTGATGTCCACATTCACCTCATAGATTTAAAACATTCTTTTAATTCAGCAGTCTGGAAAAACTGCTTTGCAGAATCCATCAAGGAATATTTGGAAGCACATTGGGGCCTATGGAGAAAAAGTAAATATCTTCAGATAAAAACTAGAAAGAAGCTTTCTGGGAAAATGTTTATGATTTGTGCATTCTTCTCACAGAGTTAAACTTTTCTTTGGATTCAGCAGTTTTGAAACACTGTTGTTGTAGAATATGCAAAGGGATATTTGGGGAAAAACCCAGGCCAAAGGGGAAAAACCGAATATCACAGGAAGAAAATGGGGAGGAAGATACCTTAGAAACCGCTAAGTGATGTGTGCATTCATCTCTCAGAATTAAAACATTATTTTCATTCAGTAGTTTGGAAACACTGTTTTTGTAGAATCTGTGAAGTTTTATTTGACAGTGCATTTATGCCCATGGTGAAAAAGGAAATATCTTCAGATAAAAACTGGAAAGAAGCTTTCTGAAAAACTACTTTGTGATGTGTGCATTCATCTCACAGATTTGAAACTTTCTTTGGATTCAGCAGTTTACAAACACTGTTTTTGTTCTTTCTGGGAATGGACATTTGGGAGCTCTTTCAGGCCAATGGCAAAAAATGGAATATTCCAGGACAAGAACTAGAAGGAAGCTCTCTGAGAAACCACTTTGTGATGTGTACGTTTATCTCACAGAGCTAAAACTTTCTTTTAATTCAAGAGTTTGAAAACAAGGTTTTCATAGAATCTGTGAAGTGATATCTGGGCGCATACTGTGGCCTATGGTGAAAAAGGAAACACATACAGAAAAAAAATAGAAGGAAGCTTTCTGAGAAACTGCTAGGTGATGTGTGCATTTATCTCACAGAGTTAAACCTTTCTTTGGATGCAGCACTTTGCAAACACTGTTTCTGTCCATTCTGCAGTTGGCCACTTAGGAGAACATTGAGTCCAATGGCGAAAAAGCAAATATCCTAGGATAAAAAATAGGAAGAAGGAATCTGAGAAGCTGCTTTGGGATGTGTGCAATCACCTTGCAGAGTCATAACTTTCTTGTCATACAGCAGTATGGTAACACTGTTTTTGCAGAATCCACGAAGGGATATTTGGGAACGAATTGAGAACAATGGTGAAAAAGGAAATAACTTCAGATAAAAACTAGAAAGAAGCTTTCTGAGATCCTGCTTTGTAATGTGTGCATTCATCTCACAAAGTTACATCTTTCTTTGGATCAGCAGTTTGGAAACACTACTGTTGTAGAACCTGCAATGGGTTATTTAGGAGCTTTTTGAGGCCAAAGTTGAAAAAGGGATTATCCCAGGATAAAATCTAGGAGGAAGCTACCTGAGAAAAGGCTTTGTGATGTTTGCATTCATCTCAGAGGTTTAAATCTTGCTTTTATTCTCCAGTTTGGAAACACTGTTTTTGTAGAATCTGTGAAGGGATATCTGTGAGCACATTGTGGTCTGTGGTGAAAAAGGAAATATCTTCAGACAAAAACTATAAAGAAGCTTTCTGAGAAACTGCTTTGTGATGTGTCCGTTCATCTCACACAGTTAAACCTTTCTTTGGATTCAGCAGTTTGGAAACACCGTTGTTGCAGATGCTGCAAAGGGATATTTTGGAGCCTAATAAGGCCAAAGTGAGAGATCGAATGTCCAGGAAAAACCTACAAGGAAGCTATCTGAGAATCTGCTTTGTGATCAGTGAATTCATCTCTCAGATTTAAAGCATTCTTTTCATTCAGCAATTTGGAAACACTCTTTTTTGTAGAATCTTCAAAGTTAAATTTGAAGTGCATTGAGACCTATGGTGAGAAAGGAAATATCTTCAAATAAAAACTTGAAAGAAGCTTTCTGAGAAACTGCTTTGGGATGTGTGCAATCACCTAACAGAGTTAAACGTTTCCGTGGATTCAGCAGTTTGGAAACACTGGTTTTTTTTTCCCCATTCAGCATATAAACATTTGGGAGCTTATCAAGGTCAATGGCGAAAAAGTGAATATCCCATTATAAATAAATACTAGAATGAAGAATGACGCTATCTGAGAAAACACTTTGTGGTGTGTGCATTCACATTATAGAATTAAAACCTTCTTTCCACACAGCAGTCTGAAAACACTGTTTTTGCAGTGCCTGCATATGGATATTTGAGAATGCGTTGAGGCATAAACCTTTCTGATGATTCATCAGTTTCAAAACACTGTTGTTAAATATTCCTATTTTTCTACAACCTCTCCAGCATCTGTTGTTTCCTGAATTTTTTTTGATTTTATTATTATTATTATTATACTTTAAGTTTTAGGGTACATGGGCACAATGTGCAGGTTTGTTACACATGTATACATGTGTCACGTTGGTGTGCTGCACCCATCAACTCATCATTTAGCATTAGGTATATCTCCTAATGCTATCACTCCCCTCTCCCCGCACCCCACAACGGTCCCCAGAGTGTGATGTTCCCCTTCCTGTGTCCATGTGTTCTCATTATTCAATTCCCAGCAATGAGTGAGAACATGTGGTGTTTGGTTTTTTGTCCTTGCGATATTTTGCTGAGATTGATGGTTTCCAGTTTCATCCATGTCCTTACAAAGGACATGAACTCATCATTTTTTATGGCTGCATAGTATTCCATGGTGTATTATGTGCCACATTTTCTTAATCCAGCCTATCATTGTTGGACATCTGGATTGGTTCCAAGTCTTTGCTATTGTGAATAGTGCCACAATAAACATACGTGTGCATGTGTCTTTATAGCAGCATGATTTATAATCCTTTGGGTATATACTCAGTAATGGGATAGCTGGGTCAAATGGTTTTTTTAGTCTAGATCCCTGAGGAATTGCCACACTGACTTCCTCAATGGTTGAACTAGTTTACAGTCCCACCAACAGTGTAAAAGTGTTCCTATTTCTCCACATCCTCTCCAGCACCTGTTGTTTCCTGACTTTTTAATGATCACCATTCTAACTGGTGTGAGATGGTATCTCATTGTGGTTTTGATTTGCATTTCTCTGATGGCTTGTGATGATGAGCATTTTTTCGTGTGTTTTTTGGCTGCATAAATGTCTTCTTTTGAGAAGTGTCTGTTCATATCCTTTGCCTACTTTTTGATGGGGTTGTTTGTTTTTTTCTTGTAAATTTGTTTGAGTTCATTGTAGATTCTGGATATTAGCTCTTTGTCAGATGAGCAGGTTGCAAAAATTTTCTACCATTCTGTAGGTTTCCTGTTCACTCTGATGGTAGTTTCTTTTGCTGTGCAGAAGCTCTTTAGTTTAATTAGATCCTTTTTGCCTATTTTGGCCTTTATTGCCATTGCTTTTGGTGTTTTAGACATGAAGTCCTTGCCCATGCCTATGTCCTGAACGGTATTGCCTAGGTTTTCTTCTAAGGTTTTTATGGTTTTAGGTCTAACATACAAGTCTTTAATCCATCTTGAATTAATTTTTGTATAAGGTAGAAGGAAGGGATCCAGTTTCAGCTTTCTACATATGGCTAGCCAGTTTTCCCAGCACCATTTATTAAATAGGAAATCCTTTCCCCATTGCTTGTTTTTCTCAGGTTTGTCAAAGATCAAATGGTTGTAGATATGTGACATTATTTCTGAGGGCTCTGTTGTGTTCCATTGATCTATATCTCTGTTTTGGTACCAGTACCATGCTGTTTTGGTTACTGTAGCCTTGTAGTATAGTTTGAAGTCAGGTAGCGTGATGCCTCTGGCTTTGTTCTTTTGGCTTAGGATTGACTTGGTCATGCGTGCTCTTTTTTGGTTCCATATGAACTTTAAATTAGTTGTTTCCAATTCTGTGAAGAAAGTCATTGGTAGCTTGATGGGGATGGCATTGAATCTATAAATTACCTTGGGCAGTATGGCCATTTTCATGATATTGATTCTTCTTACTCAAGAACATGGAATGTTCTTCCATTTGTTTGTATCTTCTTTTATTTCATTGAGCAGTGGTTTGTACTTCTCCTTGAAGAGGTCCTTCATATCCCTTGCAAGTTGGATTCCTAGGTATTTTATTCTCTTTGAGGTGATTGTGAATGGGGGTTCACTCACGATTTGGCTCTCTGTTTGTCTGTTATCAGTGTATAAGAATGCTTGTGATTTTTGTACATTGATTTTGGATCCTGAGACTTTGCTTAAAATGCTTATCAGCTTAAGGAGATTTTGGGCTGAGACAGTGGGGTTTTCTAGATATACAATCATGTCATCTGCAAACAGGGAGAATTTGACTTCAACCATTGTGGAAGACAGTGTGGCAATTCCTCAAGGATCTAGAAATAGAAATACCATTTGACCCAGCAATCCCATTACTGGGCATATACCCAAAGAACTGTAAACCATGTTTGTTTATTGCAGCACTATTCACAAAAGCAAAGACTTGGAAACAACCCAAATGTCCATCAATGATAGACTGCATTAAGAAAATGTGGCACATGTACTCCATGGAATACTATGCAGCCACAAAAAAGGAGGAGTTCATGTCCTTTGCAGGGGCATGAATAAAGCTGGAAACCATCATTCTCAGCAAACTACCACAAGATCAGAAAACAAAACACTGCATGTTCTCACACATAAGTGGGAGTTGAACAATGAGAATACAAGAACAGAGTGAGGGAACATCACACACAGGGACCTATAGGGGGTGGGGAGCTAGGGGAGGGATAACATTAGGAGAAATACCTAATGTAGGTGACGGATTGATGTGTGCAGCAAACCACTATGGCACATTTATACCTATGTAACAAAACTACATGTTCTGCACATGTAACCCAGAACTTAAAGTATATATTTAAAAAAAAAAGCTGAAAATTATCCTACCAGTCTGATTATCATAACTGGCTAATCCTGAATACTATTAGATTTGCATTAAATAAATCCCAAATGTTAGAAAGAAAAAAGACACTCTTGTTGTAGAATCAGTGAAGGGATATTTGGGACCTCATTGAGGACAAAGGCAAAAAAGGGAATATCCCAGGATAAAAACTAGAAGAAAACTACTTGAGAAACAGCCTTGTGATGTGTGTATTCATCTCACAGATTTAAACTTGTCTTTTCATTCAGCAGTTTGGAAACAGTTTTTGTAGATTCTGCAAAGAGATATCTGGGATTGCATTGAGGACTAGGGTGAAAAAGGAAGTATCTTCAGATAAAAACTAGAAAGAAGCTCTCTGAGGAACTTCTTTGTGACGTGTGCCTTCATCTCACAGTGTTAAACCTTTCTGTGGATTCAGCAGTTTGCAAACACTGGTGTTGTCCATTCTGTATGTGGACATTTGGGAGCACAATGAGGCCAATGAAGAAAAAGGGAATATCCCAGGATAAAACTAGAAGGATGCTATCTTGGAGAAACTGCTTTGTGATGTGTGCATTCACTTCACAGAGATAAACCCTTCTTTTCATTTTGTAGTCTGGAAACACTCTTTTGGCAGAATCTGTGAATGGATATCTGGAAGCACATTGAAGCTTATGCTGAAAAAGGAAATATCATCTGATAAAAACTGGTAAGAAGCTTTCTGAGAAACTGTTTTGTGATATATTCATTTATCCCATAGAGTTAAATTTTATTTGGATTCAGCAGTTTGGAAACACTGTTTTTTTACAATCTGTGAGGGGAAATTTTGAAGCTTAATGAGGCCAAAGGCAAGAAAGCGAATATCCCAGGAAAAAAAAATAGAAGGAAGCTATCTGAGAAACCACTTTGTCATGTGTGCATTCATCTCCCAGAGATAAGACTTTATTTTCATTCAGCAGTTGGGAAGCATGGTTTTCATAGAATCTACGAAGTAGTATTTGGGAGCACATTGAGGCCTATGGTGAAAATGGAAATAGCTTAAGATAAAAACTAGAAAGAAGCATTTTGAGAAACTGCTTTGCGATGCATGCATTATTCTCACAGAGTTCAACATTTCTGTGAATTCAGTAGTTTGCAAACACAGTTTTTGTTCAGTCTGTGACTGGACTTTTGGGAACTTTTGTGGTCAATGGCAAAAAAGTGAATATCCCAGGATGAAAACTACAAGGAAGGTATTTGAGAAACTGCTTTGTGATGTGAGCATTCACCTTGGAGAGATAAAATTTTCTTTTCATTCAGCAATTTGGAAACACTGTTTTCCTAGAATCTGAGATGGGAAATCTGTGAGCACATTGAGGGGTATGGTGAAAGAGGAAATATCTTCAGAAAAAAACTAGAAAGAAGCTTTCTGAGAAACTACTTTGTGACGTGTGCATTCACTTCACTGAAGTAAACCTTTCTGTGGATTCAGCAGTTTGCACAAACTGTTTTTGTCTATTTTGGGAATGGACATTTAGGAGCTCATTGAGGCAAGTGGCCAAAAAGTGAACATCCCAGGATAAATCTAGAAAGCAGTTATCTGAGAAACCACTTTGTGATGATTGCATTCATTTCACAAAGTTAAAACTTTATTTTCATACAGCAGTCTGGAAACACTCTTTTGGCAGAATCTGTGAAGGGATATTTGGAAGTGCATTATGCCTATACTGAACAAGAAAATATATTCAGATAAAAACTAATAAGAATTTTTCTGAGAAAATGCTTTGCAATGTGTACATTCATGTCACAGAGTTAAACATTTCATTGAATTCAGCAGTTTGGAAACACTGTTGTTTTATTATCTGTAAAGTAATATTTGGGAGCTCATTGAGGCCAAAGGTGAAAAAGCAAATATCACAGAAAAAAACTGGTAGGAAGCTATTTGAGAAACCACTTTTTGATGTGTCCATTCATGTTGCAGAGTTAAACCTTTCTTTTAACTCAGCATTTTGGAAAAACTGTTTTCGTAGAATATGTGGAGTGATATCTTGGTGTGACTTGAGGCCTATGGTGAAAAAGGAAATATCTTCAGATAAAAACTAGAAAGAAGCTTTCTGATAAACTCCTTGGTGATGTGCACATTCACCTCATGGAAGTAAACATTTCTCTGGATTCTGAAGTTTCCAAACACTGTTTTTGTCCGTTCTGTGAATGGACATTTGGGAGCTCATTGACTCCAATGGCAAAACAGCGAATATCAAAGGATTAAAAAATTGAAAGAAGCTATCTGAGAAACCACTTTGTGATGTTTGCTTTCACTTCACAGAGATAAAACTTACTTTTCATTCAGCAGTCTGGAAACACTGTTTTCTTAGAACCTGCAGAGTGAAATCTGGGGCAGCATTGAGGCTTATGGTGAAAGAGGAAATCTCTTCAGTTTAAAAATTGGAAAGAAGCTATATGAGAAAATGCTTCATGATTTGTGTATTCAACTAACAGAGATAAACCTTTCTTTTCATTCAGCAGTTTGGAAACACTGTTTTCCTGGAATCTATGTAGGGTTATTTGGGAGCACTTTGAGGCATATGGTGAAAAAGGAAATACCTTCAGATAAAAATTAGAAAGAAGCCTTCAGAGTAACTGCTTTATGATATGTGCATTCATCTCACAGAGTTCAACCTTTTATTGGGTTAAGGAGCTTGCAAAAACTGTTTTTAATCCTTTCTGAAAATGTACATTTGGGAGCTCTTTGAGGCCAAAGGCAAAAATCGAATATCCCAGGGCAAAAAATAGAAGGAAGCTCTTTGAGAAACTGTTTTGTGATGTGTACATTCAAGTCTCAGAGTTAAACCTTGCCTTTCATTCAGTGGTTTGGAAACACTGTTTTCACAGAATCTGCTAAGGGATATTTGGGAGCACCTTGAGGCCTATGGTGAAAAAGGAAATATCTTCAGATAAAAACTAGAAAGAAGCTTTCTGAGAAACTGCTTTGTGATGTTTGCATTCACCTAACAGAGTTAAACGTTTCTGTGCATTCAGCAGTTTGGAAACACCGTTATTGTCCATTCTGTGAATGGACATTTGGGAGCTCATTGAAGCCAATGGCGAAAAAGTGAATATCCCAGGATAAAAACTAGAAAGAAGATATCTGAGAACCTGCTTTGTGATGTATTCATTCGCCTTGCCAAGTTAAAGCTTTCTTTTCATTCAGCAGTCTGGAAATAATGCTTTGGTAGAATCTCAGAGAGTAAAACCTTTCTTTTCATTCAGCAGTTTGGAAACCCTGTTTTTGTGGAATCTGCAAAGGGATATATTGGAGCTCTTTGAGGTTTATGTTGCAAAAGGAAACATCTTCAGATAAAAACTAGAAAGAAGCTTTCTAAGAAACTGCTTAGTGATGTGTGCATTCATCTCACAGAGTTAAAATTTCTTTGGATTCAGCAGTTTAGAAACACTCTTTTTGTCTATTCTGCAAATGGACGTTTGGGAGCTCATTGAGGCCAATGGTGAAAAAGAAAATATCCTGGGATAAAAACAAGAAGGAATCTATCTGAGGAAATGGTTTGTGATGTGTACATCCATCTCACAGAGTTAAACCTGTTTCTTCCTTCAGCAGTTTGGAAAAAATATATTTGTAGAAGCTGCTAGGGGATATTTCGGAAGGGGATGTTTCTAGAAGCCTAAGGTGAAGAAGAATATATCTTCAGTTAAAAACTAGAAATAACCTTTCTGAGACACTGCTTTGTGATGTGTGCATTCACCTCACAGAGTTAAACATTTCTTTGGATTCATCAGTTTGGAAACACTGGCTTTGTCCACTCTGCGAATGGACATTTGGGAACTCTTGAGGCAAATGGCGAAAAAAAGAATATCCCAGGATAAAAACTAGAAGGAAGCTATCTGAGAATTTGCTTTCTGATGAGTGCATTAATCTCGCTGAGTTAAACCTTTCTTTTCATTCAGCAGTTCAGCAACACTGTTTTTTTTTTTTTTTTTGTATCTTCACAGGGATATATGCGAGTGCACTGAAGCCTATGGAGAAAAGTAAATATCTTTGGATAAAAACTAGAAAGAAGATTTCTGAGAAACTGCTTCATGATGTGTGCATTGGTCTCACAGATTTAAATTTTCTTTGGATTCAGCAGCTTTGAAACAGTATTATTGCCCATTCTGCTTATGGATATTAGGGAGCTCATTGAGGCCAATGGTGAAAAAGCAAGTATCTCTGGATAAAAACTCGAAGGAAGCTACCTGAGAAACTGCTCTCTGATGTGTGCATTGACCTCCCAGAGTTAAACCTTTCTTTTCATTCAGCAGTTTGGAAACACTTTTTTTAGAATCTCTGAGTGGATATTTGGGAGTGCATTGAGACCTATGGTGAAAAAGGAAACATCTTCAGATAAAAACTAGAAAGAAGTTTTCTGAGAAATGGCTTTGTGTTGTGTACATTTTTCTCACAGAGGTAAAACTTTCTTTTGATTCAGCAGTTTGGAAACAGTTTTTGTCCATTCTGCAAATTGATGTTTGGGAGCTCACTGAGGCCAATGGTGAAAAAGGAAATATCCCATATTAAAAACTAAAAGGAAGTTACTTAAGAAATCGTTTTGTAATGTGTTCATTAATGTCACAGAGTTAAAACTTTCACTTCATTCAGCAGTTGGGAAACACTGTTTCTGTAGAATCTGCGAAGGGATATTTGGGAGCACATTGAGGCCTATGGTGAAAAAGAAAACTTCTTCAGATAAAAACTATAAGAAGCTTTCTGAGAAACTGCTTTGTGATGTGTGCATTCATCTTACAGAGTTAAACCTTTCTTTTGATCCATCAGTTTGGAAACACTCTTTTTGTCTATTCTGCTAATGGACTTTTGGGAGCACATTGAGACCTATGGTGAAAAATGGAAACATCTTCAGATAAAAACTAGAAAGAAATTTTCTGAGAAACAGCTTTGTGATGTGTGCATTCATCTCATAGAGTTAAACTTTTATTTTGATTCATCAGTTTGGAAACACTATTTTTGTCCATTCTGCAAATGGACATTTGGGAGCTCATTGAGGCCAATGCCAAAACTTGAGTAGCCCAGGATAAAAACTGGAAGGACACTATCTGATAAACCGCTGTGTGATGTGTGCATTCATCTCACAGATTTAAACATTTCTTTTCATTCAGCAGTTTGGAAACACTGTTTTTGTACAAACTGTGAAGGGATATTTGGGAGTGCATTGAGGCCTAAAGTGAAAAAGAAAATAACTTCAGATAAAAACTAGAAAGAAGCTTTCTGAGAACTTGTTTTGTGATGTGTGTATTTAAGTAACAGAGTTTAACATTTCTTTTGATTCACCAGTTTGGAAACACTGTTTTTGCGTATTCTGCAAATGAACATTTGGGAGCTCATTGAGGCCAATGGTGAAAAAAGGAATATCCCATACTAATACTAGAAGGAAGATATCTGAGAAACCACTTTGTGATGTGTGCATTCATCTCACACAGTTAAACAACTCTTTTCATTCAGCAGTTTGGAAACAGCGTTTTTGTAAAATCTCTCATAGAATATTTGGGAGCGCATAGATGCCTATGTTGAAAAAGGAAATATCTTCAGATAAAAATTAGAGAAAACTTTCTGAGAAACCTCTTTTTGATGTGTGCATTCATCTCTCAGAGTTAAAGCTTTCTTTTGTTTCAGCAGTTTGGAAACACTGTTTTTGTCCATTCTGCAAATGGACATCTGTAAGCTCATTTAGGCCAACGGTGAAAAATCAAATATCCCAGGATAAAAACTGGAAGGAAGCTAGCTGATAAAATTCTTTGTGATGTGTGCATTCATCTCGCAGATTTAAACATTTTCTTTTCATTCAACATTTTGGAAACTCTGTTTTTGTAGAATCTGTGAAGAAATATTTGGGAGCACACTGATGACTATGGTGTAAAAGGAAACATTGCTGAGACCACCTCAGTTGGGGAGACCCTAACCCAGCAGCGCTAGAGGAATTAAAGACACACAGAGAAATATAGAGGGGTGAAGTGGGAAATCAAGGGTCTCACATCCTTCGGAGCTGAGAGCTCCAAACAGAGATTTACTCACAAGTTTAATAACAGCAAACCAATCATTAGCATTGTTTCTACAGATATTTGAGTAGCTAAAAGTATCCCTTATTGGAAACGAAGGGATGGGCTGAAATAAAGTTGTGGATCTGGCTAGTCATCTGCTGCAGAAGCATGCCATTAAGGCACAGACCACTCCGCTCATGCTATTGTTTGCAGTTTAAGAATGACTTTAAGCTGTTTTCTGCCTTGGGCAAGCCAGATGTCCCATGCCTTCATTCCAGTAAACCCAGAACCTTCCAGCATGGGCATTAGGGCCATCATGAACATGTGACAGTGCTGCAGATATTTTGTTTATGGCCAGTTTTGGGGCCAGTTTATGGCTGGATTTTGGGTCTTGCTCCCAACATGTCCCAGTTCTTTGATTTGCAAATTGACAAAAGCAAAGACAGGAAACTATTAATAGTTTCCACAAATCCACTATACTGCCATGATTCCAGATAATAGGAACTCTTCCCATACTTTTATTATATCTACCATCCGACCATTTTGTTCAGACCAGCTAAACATAGTGTGGCCATGACATGTAGACTGAGAGGTGCAATTCAAGTTAAACGTCCCCTTAGGGGATCAATCAATAATGATTCCACAGGTATCATTGTCCAGCATTTCTGCCTGTTCTGCAATGCAATCTTCCTAAACAAGTACGTTCATATTTTCTGGCCAGGTTCAATTTTGTTTACAAATAGGTTATTGAGGGAGGTAGGCCTCAATTATAGGAGCAGATTTATTATGGTAAATACTGAGATCAGAGAGCTTGTTTAACTGCATCATAGAGTGATTGCATTCAGGCATTATTGCCAGCCAAGATTGATCAATATGCCCAATAAGTATAATTGTTCCTGTGTCAGCCCTTCTTGAAGGAATGCTCCTGACAGTGGTAATAACTGCTATCATAGCTACCATTAAATTATACAGTGTGACTGGTTGTCCCACTTTTCTCAGGTTTTCTTCCTCCATCTGTGACAACTTCTTGATCTGTTCCCGGGTTGGTGGCTGTGTTTGATGGGTGTTGCTCATGACAGTTGGACTCCACCTCAGCATCAGTCTCAACATGGCTGCAACCAGGGGGTCCTCGGGATCCTCCCAGAGTCTCCTCCTCAGAATCTTGTTCATGATAAGGTTTCAGGTGTCTTGATGGTAACCAAATCTGGTGTTGATTTTGGCCTAGAGAAACACAAGCATAACCTCTACCCCAAGTTATGATTTTGCCTATTTCCCAACATTTTCTAATCAGATCTCTCTGCCAAATCAGTTATTCTGCTTCTGTCTTTGTAGCTGGTTTCTGTAGGTGCTGTTCAGCTGCTGAAAACATCTGGCCTTTGAGCAGGCTCAGAAATTTAAAGTTAATAATGCTATATTTAGTTGTATCTGCTGTGTTCCATATTCTCTGTCTCCCCTGCTTTGTAATTTGTGCATTCACAGCACAGAGTTAAACATATCTTTGGATTCATCAGTTTGGAAACACTGGCTTTGTCCATTCTGCTAATGGACATTTGGGAGCTCATTGAGGCCAATGGCAAAAAAGCAAATATCCCAGGATAAAAGCTAGAATGATGCTATCTAAGAAACCAATTTGTGATGTGTGCATTCAGCTTGCAGAGTTAAACTTTACTTTTCATTCATCAGTTTGGAAACATTGTTTTTGTAGGAACTGTGAAGGGATATTTGGGAGCACATTGAGGCCTATGGTGAAAAGGAATCATCTTCAGATAAAAAATAGAAAGAAGCTTTCTGAGAAGCAGATGTCTGATATGTACATTCATCTCACAGTGTTAAACATTTCTTTGCGTTCAGCAGGTTGAAAACACAGTTTTTGTCCATTTTGTGAATGGACATTTGGGAATTCATTGAGGCCAATGGTGAAAAAGTGAATATACCACTATAAAAACTAGAAGGAATCTCTGTGAGAAGCCACTTTGTGATGTGTTCATTCACCTCACAGAGTTAAACCTTTCTATTCATTCAGCAGTTTGGTAACACTGTTTATGTAGAATCTGCGAAGGGGTATTTTGGAGTGTATTGTGGCCTATGGTGAAAAGGAAATATCTTCAGATAAAAACTAGAAAGAAGCTCTCAGAGAAACTGCTTTGTGATGTGTGCCTTCTTCTCACAATTAAAACTTTCCTTGGATTCTGCAGTTTGGAAACACTGCTTTTGTCTATTCTGCGAATGGTCATTTGGGAGCTCACTGAGGCCAATTGTGAAAAAGTGAATATCCCAGGATAAAAACTAGAAGGAAGATCTCTGGGAAACTGCTTTGTGATGTGGGCATTCATCTCACAGAGTTAAACCTTTCTTTTCATTCAGCAGTTTGGAAACTCTGTTTTGTCAGAATATCCCTGGATAAAAACTAGAAGGAAGGTATCAGGGAAACCCCTCTGAGATATGTGCATTCATCTCAGAGAGTTAAATATTTCTTTTCCTTCGGAAGTTTGCAAACACTGTTTTTGTAGAATCTGTGAAGGGATATTTCGGAGTGCATTGAGGCCTATGGTGAAAAACAAAACATCTTCAAATAAAAACTAGAAAGAAGTTTTCTGAGAAGCTGCTTTGTAATGTGAGCATTCATCTCACAGAGTTAAACCTTTCTCTTGATTCAGCAGTTTGAAAACACTCCCTTTGTCTATTCTGCAAATGGACATTTGGGAGCTCATTGGTGCCAAATGTGAAAAAGCAAATATCTAAGTATAAAAAGTAGAAGGAAGCTATCTGAGAAACAGCTTAGTGGTGTGTGTATTCATCTTGCAAAGTTAAACCTTTCTTTTCTTTCAACAGTTTGGAAACACTCTTTTTTAAGAATCTTCAAAGGGACATTTGGGAGCACATTGAGGCCTATGGTGAAAAAGGAAATATCTTCAGTTAAAAACTAGAAAGAAGCTTTCTGAGAAACTGCTTTGTGATGTGTGCATTCATCTCGCAGAGCTAAACCTGTCTTTGGATGCAGCAGTCTGGAAACACTGTTTTTATCCATTCTATGAATGGATATCTGTGACCTCATTGACGCCAATGGCAAAAAAGTGAATACCCGAGGATACAAACTAGAAGGAGGCTATCTAAGGGAATGCTTTGTGATGTGTGCATTCATCTCACAGAGTTAAATCTTTCTTTTCATTCAGCAGTTTGGAAAAACTGTTTTCATGGAATCTGCAAGGGGATATTTGGGAAGGCTTTTGTCCTATGGTGAAAAAGGAAACATCTTCAGTTAAAAATTAGAAAGAAGGTTTCTGAGAAACTGCTTTGTGATGTGAGCATTCATCTCACAGAGGTAAGACTTTCTTTGGATCCAGCAGTATGGAAAAACTGGTTTTTTCCATTCTGCAAATGGACATTTGGGAGGTCATTGAGGCCTATCGATAAAAAGTGAATTTCCAGTACTCAAACTAGAAGGAAGGTATCTCAGTAACAGCACTGTGAGGTGTGCATTCATCTCGCAGACTTATATCTTTGAGTTCATTCAGCAGATTGGAACCACTGTTTTTGTAGAAACTGCTGTGCTATATTTTTGAACACCTTGAGGCCTCTGGTGAAAAAGGAAACATCTTCAGATAAAAACTAGAAATAAGCTTTCTAAGAAACTGCTTTGTGATGTGTGCATTCATCTCCCAGAATTACACATTTCTTTTGATTCAGCAGTTTGGAAACACTCTTTTTGTCCATTCTGCAAATGGACATTTGAGAGTTCATTGAGGCCAAAGTTGAAAAAGTGAATAACCCAGCACAGAAACTAAAAGGAAGCAATCTGAGAAACCATTTAGTGACGTGTGCATTCGTCTCACAGTGTTAAACTTTTCTTTTCATTCAGCAGTTTGGAAACACTGTTTTTGTAGAACATGTGAAGGGATATTTTAGTGCAAGTTGAGTCCTATGGTGAAAAAGGAAACATCTTTAGATAAAAACTAGAAATAAGCTTTCTGAAAAACTGCTTTGTGAGTTATGCATTCATCTCACAGAATTAAAACTTCCTTTGGATTCAGCAGTCTTGAAACATTGTTTTTGTACATTCTGCATGTGGACATTAGGGACCTCATTGAGGACAATGGCAAAAAAGTGAATACCTCTGGATAAAAAGTAGAAGGAAACTTCTGAGGAATGCATTCATCTCACAGAGTTAAACCATTCTTTTCATTCAGCAGTTTGGAATCACTGTTTTTGTACAATGTGTTACAGGATATTTGCAAGTGCATTGAGGCCTAAGGTGAAAAAGGAAATATCTTCAGATAAAAACTAAAAAGAAGGTTTCTGAGGAACTGTTTCATGATGTGTGCATTCATCTAATAGAGTTAAATCTTTCTGTGGATTCAGCAGTTTAGAAACACTGTTTTTGTCCATTCTGTAAATGGATATTTGGGAGCTCACAGGCCAATGGTGAAAAAGGAAATATCCCATGATAAAAACTAGAAGGAAGTTATCTGAGAAACCATTTTGAGATGTGTGTATTCATCTTGTAGAGTTGAAACTTTTTTTTCATTTGGCAGTTTGGAAACACTATTTTTGTCAAATCTGTGAAAGGATATTTAGGAGCACATTGAGGATATGGTGAAAAAGGAATCATCTTCAGATAGATAAAAACTAGAAAGAAGCTCTGTGAGAAACTGTTTTTTGATGTAAGTATTCATCTCACAGAGTTAAAATTTTCTTTGGATTCAGCAGTATGGCAACACTGTCTTTGTCCTTTCTGCATAAGGGCATTTTAGGAGCTCATTGAGGACAATGGCAAAAAAGTGAATGCCCCACCATAAAAAATAGGAGAACGCTTCTGAGAAACCAGTTTGTGATGTGTGCATTCCTCTCACAGAGTTAAACTTTTCTTTTCATTCAGCAGTTTGGAAACAGTGTTTTTGTGGAAACTATGAAGGGATATTTGGTAGCGCATTGAGACCTATGGTGAAAAAGGAATAATCTTCAGATAAGAACAAGAAGGAAGCTTTCTGAGAAGTGACTTTGTGATGTGGGCATTCATCTCAAAAAGTTAAACATTTCTTTTGATACAGTACTAAGGAAAAACAGTTTTGGTCCATTCTGCAAGTGGACATTTGGAAGCTCCTTGAGGCTAACGGCGAAAAAGCAAATTTCCCAGGATAAAAATTAGAAGGAAGCTATTCGAGAAACCACTTCATGATGTGTGCATTCACCTCGCAGACTTAAACCTTTCTTTTCATTCAGCAGTTTGGAAATACTATTTTTTTTTATTATACTTTAAGTTTTAGGGTACATGCGCACATTGTGCAGGTTAGTTACATATGTATACATGTGCCATGCTGGTGCGCTGCACCCACTAACTCGTCATCTAGCATTAGGTATATCTCCCAATGCTATCTCTCCCCCCTCCCCCCACCCCACAACTGTCCCCAGAGTGTGATGTTCCCCTTCCTATGTCCATGTGAAATCATTGTTCAATTCCCACCGATGAGTGAGAATATGCGGTGTTTGGTTTTTTGTTCTTGCGATAGTTTACTGAGAATGATGATTTCCAATTTCATCCATGTCCCTACAAAGGACATGAACTCATCATTTTTATGGCTGCATAGTATTCCATGGTGTATATGTGCCACATTTTCTTAATCCAGTCTATCATTGTTGGACATTTGGGTTGGTTCCAAGTCTTTGCTATTGTGAATAATGCCGCAATAAACATACGTGTGCATGTGTCTTTATAGCAGCATGATTTATAGTCCTTTGGGTGTATACCCAGTAATGGGATGGCTGGGTCAAATGGTATTTCTAGTTCTAGATCCCTGAGGAATCGCCACACTGACTTCCACAATGGTTGAACTAGTTTACAGTCCCACCAACAGTGTAAAAGTGTTGCTATTTCTCCACATCCTCTCCAGCACCTGTTGTTTCCTGACTTTTTAATGATCACCATTCTAACTGATGTGAGATGGTATCTCATTGTGGTTTTGATTTGCATTTCTCTGATGGCCAGTGATGGTGAGCACTTTTTCATGTGTTTTTTGGCTGCATAAATGTCTTCTTTTGAGAAGTGTCTGTTCATGTCCTTTGCCCACTCTTTGATGGGGTTGTTTGTTTTTTTCTTGTAAATTTGTTTGAGTTCATTGTAGATTCTGGATACTAGCCCTTTGTCAGATGAGTAGGTTGCGAAAATTTTCTCCCATTTTGTAGGTTGCCTGTTCACTCTGATGGTAGTTTCTTTTGCTGTGCGGAAGCTCTTTAGTTTAATTAGATCCCATTTGTCAATTTTGGCTTTTGTTGCCATTGCTTTTGGTGTTTTAGACATGAAGTCCTTGCCTATGCCTATGTCCTGAATGGTAATGCCTAGGTTTTCTTCTAGGATTTTTATGGTTTTAGGTCTAAGGTTTAAGTCCTTAATCCATCTTGAATTGATTTTTGTATAAGGTGTAAGGAAGGGATCCAGTTTCAACTTTCTACATATGGCTAGCCAGTTTTCCCAGCACCATTTATTAAATAGGGAATCCTTTCCCCATTGCTTGTTTTTCTCAGGTTTGTCAAAGATCAGATAGTTGTAGATATGCGGTGTTATTTCTGAGGGCTCTGTTCTGTTCCATTGATCTATATCTCTGTTTTGGTACCAGTACCATGCTATTTTGGTTACTGTAACCTTGTAGTATAGTTTGAAGTCAGGTAGTGTGATGCCTCCAGCTTTGTTCTTTTGGCTTAGCATTGACTTGGTGATGCGGGCTCTTTTTTGGTTCCATATGAACTTTAAAGTAGTTTTTTCCAATTCTGTGAAGAAGGGCATTGGTAGCTTGATGGGGATGGCATTGAATCTGTAAATTACCTTGGGCAGTATGGCCATTCTCACGATATTGATTCTTCCTACCCATGAGCATGGAATGTTCTTCCATTTGTTTGTATCCTCTTTTATTTCCTTGAGCAGTGGTTTGTAGTTCTCCTTGAAGAGGTCCTTCACATCCCTTGTAAGTTGGATTCCTAGGTATTTTATTCTCTTTGAAGCAATTGTGAATGGGAGTTCACTCATGATTTGGCTCTCTGTTTCTCTGTTGTTGGTGTATAGGAATGCTTGTGATTTTTGCACATTGATTTTGTATACTGAGACTTTGCTGAAGTTGCTTATCAGCTTAAGGAGATTTTGGGCTGAGACAATGGGGTTTTCTAGATAGACAATCATGTCATCTGCAAACAGGGACAATTTGACTTCCTCTTTTCCTAACTGAATACCTTTTATTTCCTTCTCCTGCCTAATTGCCCTGGCCAGAACTTCCAACACTATGCTGAATAGGAGTGGTGAGAGAGGGCATCCCTGTCTTGTGCCAGTTTTCAAAGGGAATGCTTCTAGTTTTTGCCCATTCAGTATGATATTGGCTGTGGGTTTGTCATAGATAGCTCTTATTATTTTGAAATACGTCCCATCAATACCTAATTTATTGAGAGTTTTTAGCATGAAAGGTTGTTGAATTTTGTCAAAGGCCTTTTCTGCATCTATTGAGATAATCATGTGGTTTTTGTCTTTGCCTCTGTTTATATGCTGGATTACATTTATTGATTTGCGTATATTTAACCAGCCTTGCATCACAGGGATGAAGCCCACTTGATCATGGTGGATAAGCTTTTTGATGTGCTGCTGGATTCGGTTTGCCAGTATTTTATTGAGGGTTTTTGGCATCAATGTTCATCAAGGATATTGGTCTAAAATTCTCTTTTTTGGTTGTGTCTCTGCCCGGCTTTGGTATCAGAATGATGTTGGCCTCATAAAATGAGTTAGGGAGGATTCCCTCTTTTTCTATTGATTGGAATAGTTTCAGAAGGAATCGTCCATTCTGTGAATGGACATTTTGGAGCTCATTGAGTCCAATGATGAAAAGTCCAATATCCCAGGATAAAACTAGAATGAAGCTATCTGAGAAAGTGCTTTAAGTGTGTGCATTCATCTCACAGTGTTAAACCTTTCTTGTCATTCAGCAGTTTGGAATCACTGTATTTGTAGAATCTGTGAAGGGATATTTAGGAGTGCATCGATGCCTATGGTGAAAAAGGAAATATCTTCAGACTAAAACTAGAAAGAAATTTTCTGAGAAACTGCTTTGTGATATGTGCATTCATCTCACAGATTTTAACCTTTCTTTGGATTCTGCAGTTTGGAAACAGTGTTTTTGTCCATTCTATGAATGGACATTTGGGAGCTCATTGAGGCCAATGTGAAATAGCAAATATCCCAGGATGAAAACTGTAAAGAAGCTATCTGAGAAACAGTGTATAACGCGTGCATTCATTTCGCTGAGCTAAACGTTTCTTTTCATTCAGCAGTTTGGAAACACTCTTTGTAGAATCTGCAAAGGGATATTTGGGAGCGCATTGAGGCCTATGGTGAAAAAGGAAACATCTTCAGATAAAAACTAGAAAGAAGCTTTCTGAGAAACTGCTTCTTGATGTGTGCTTTCATCTCACAGAGTTAAAGCTTTCTTTTCATTTAGCAATTTAGAAACACTGTTTTTGTCCATTCTGCAAATGGGCATTTGGGAGCTCATTGAGACCAATGGCTAAAAAGTGAATATACCAGGAAAAAAACTAGAAGGAAGCTCTCTGAGAGATAGCTTTGTGATGTGTGCATTCATCTCACCAGTTTAAACCTTCCTTTTCATTCAGCCATTTGGAAACAGTGTTTTTGTATAATCTGCTAAAGGAGGTTTTGGAGCCCATAGAGTCCAATAGGGAAAAAGGAAACATATTCAGATAAAAACTAGAAAGAGACATTTTGATAAACTGCTTTGTGATCTGTGCATTCATCTCACAGATTTAAACTTTTCTTTGGATTCAGGAATTTGGAAACATGGTTTTTTCTATTCCACAAGTAGACATTTTATAGCTCATTAAGGCCAATCACAATAAAGTGAAAGTACCAAGATAAAAACTAGAAGGAAGTTATCTGAGAAACAACTTTGTGATGTGTGCCTTGATCTCTCAGAGTTAAATCTTTCTTTTCCTTCAGCCATTTGTAAGAACTGTTTTTGAAGAATCTGTGAAGGGATATTTGGGAAGGCATTGAGGCTTAGAGTGAAAAAGGAAACATCTTCAGATGAAAACTGGACAGAAGCTTTCTGAGAAACTGCTTTGAGACGTGTGCATTCATCCCACAGAGTTAACCCTTTCTTTTTTTCAGCAGTTTGGAAAAACTTTTTTTGTCCATTTTGCAAATGGAATTTTGGGAGCTCATTGAAGGCAATGGCTAAAAAAGATTGTATCCCAGGATAAAAACTAGATGTAAGCTATCTAAGAAACCACTTTGTGATGTGTGCATTCATCTCATAGAACTAAACCTTTCTTTTCATTCAGCAGTTGGTAAACACTCTTTTTGTAGTATCTACAAAGGGATAATTTGGAGCGCATTGAGGCCAATGGTAAAAAAGGAAATACCTTCAGACAACTAGAAAGAAGTGTTCTGAGAAACTGGTTTGTGATATATGCATTCAACTCACAGAGTTACACCTTCCTTTAGGTTCAGCAGTTTGGAAACACTGCTTTTGTCCATTCTGCGAGTGGACATTTTGGAGCTCATTGAGGCCAAAGGAAAAAAAGCTAATATCCCAGGATAAAATTCTAGAAGGAAGCAATCTGATAAACCACTATGTGATGTGTGCATTCA
Source organism: Homo sapiens (assembly GCF_000001405.40). Taxonomy (NCBI): domain Eukaryota; kingdom Metazoa; phylum Chordata; class Mammalia; order Primates; family Hominidae; genus Homo; species Homo sapiens. Next base: position 50,544,661 of record NC_000011.10, on the reverse strand, counting down.
TCTCGCAGATTGAAATCTTTCTTTTTATTCAGCAGTTTGGAGACATTGTTTTTGAAGAATCTGCAAAAAGATATTTGCGAGCGCATTGAAGCCTATGGTGAAAAAGGAAACATTTTCAGATAAAAATAAGGAAGAAGCTTTCTGAGAAACTGCTTTGAGATGGGTGCATTCTCCTCACAGATTTAAACTTCTCTTTGGATTCAGCAGTTTGAAAACACTCTTTTTGTTCAGTCTGCGAATTTATATTTGGGAGCTCATTGAGGACAATGGTGAGAAAGCAAATATCCCATGATAAAAACTAGAAGGAAGCTATCGGAGAAACTGCTTTGTGATGTGTGCATTCACCTCACAGAGTTAAACCTTTCTTTTCCTTCAACAGTATGGAAACAATGTTTTTGAAGAATATGCGAAGGTATATTTGGGAGCACATTGAGGACTATGTTGGAAAGGAAACATCTTTAGATAAAAACAACAAAGAATCTTTCTGAGAAACTGCCTTGTGATATGTGTATTCAACTCAGAGAGCTAAACATTTCTTTTCATTCAGGAGTCTGGAAGCACTTTTTTTGCCCATTCTGTGAATGGACATTTGGGTGCAACTTGAGGCCAAAGGAAAAAAGCAAATACAATAGTATAAGAACCAGAAGGAATCCCTCTCAGAAACCACTTTGTGATGTGTTGATTCATCTGGCAGAATTAAACTTTTCTTTTCATTCAGCGTTTTGGAAACACTGTTTTTGTCCATTCTGTCAGTGGACATTTTGTAGCTTATTTAGGCCAATGGCCAAAAAGTGAGTATTCCAGGATAAACACTTGAAGGAAGCTATCTGAGAAACTGCTTTGTGTTATGAGCATTCATCTTGCAGAATTAAAACTTTCTTTAGATTCAACAGTTTGCAAACACTGTTTTGGTAGAATCTGTGAAGGGATATTTTGGAGCACATTGAGGTCTATGGTGAAAAAGAAACATCTTGAGATAAAAACTAGAAAGAAGTTTGGGAGAAAGTGCTTTGTTATATATGCATTCATCTCACAAAGTTAAACATTTTCTTGGATTCAGGAGTTTGGAAACACTGTGTTTGTCCAATTTGTGGATGGACATTTGGGAGCTCAGTGAGGCCAATGGTGAAAAATCGAATATGCCAGGATAAAAACTAGAAGGAAGCTCTCTGAGAAACTGGTTTGTGATGTGTTCTTTCTTCTTGCAGTGTTAAACCTTTCTTTTCATTCATAAGTTTGGAAACACTGTTTTCTTAGAATCTGTGAAGGGATATTTGGGAGTGCATTGAGACCTATGGCAAAAAGGAAATATCTTCAGATAAAACTACAAGGAAGCTTTCTGAGAAATTGCTTTCTGATGTGTGCATTCATCTCAGAGTGGTAAGCCTTTCTTTGGACTCAGCTGTTTGGAAACACAATTTTTGTCAATTCTGTGAATGCAGATATTGGAGCCCCTGTGGCCAAAGGTGAAAAAGGGAATATCCCATGATGAAGAGTAGATGGAAGATATCTGAGTAACCACTTTGTGATATGAACATTCTTCTCACTGTTTTAAACATTTCTTTTCATTCAGCAGTTTGGAAACACTGTTTTTGTAGAATCTGAGAAAGGATCTTTGTTAGGACCTTGAGGCCTACAGTGAAAAAGGAAACATATTCAGATAAAAACTAGAAGGAAGTTTCTGAGATACTGCTTTGTGTTGTATGCATTCATCTCACAGAGGTAAACGTTTCTTTTGGTTCAGTAGTTTAGAAACACTTTTTTGGTCCATTCTGCAAATGGACATTTGGGAGCTCATTGAAGCCAATGGCAAAAAAGTGAATACCTCAGCACAAAAATGAGAAAGAAGCTGTCTGAGAAACCACTTTGTGATGTGTGCATGCATCTCTCAGAGTTAAGCTTTTCTTTTTATTCAGCAGTTTGGAAACACTGTTTTTGTAGATTCTGCAAAGGGATATTATGGAGTGCATTGAGGCCTGTGGCAAAAAGGAAACATCTTCAGATAGACCTAGAAAGAAGCTTTCTGAGAAACTGCTTTGTGATGTGTGCATTCACCTCACAGAGTTAAAGCTTTCTTTGGATTCGGCAGTGGGGAAACACTATTTTTGTCAATTCTGTGAATGCACATATTGGAGCTCACTGAGGATAATAGTGAAAAAGCGAATATGCTACATAAAAACTAGAAGAAAGCCATATGGAAACAACTTTGTGATGTGCACATTCATCTAACAAAATTAAAATTTTCTTTTCATTTGGCAGATTGGAAAGTCTGTTTCTGTAGAATCTGTGAAGGGATATTTGGGTGCTCATTGAGGCCTATGGCAGAAACAAAACATCATCAGATAACAATGAGAAAGAAGTTTTCTCAGAATCTGTTATTTGATGTGTGCATTCATCTCACAGAGCTAAGCCTTTCTTTGGAGTCACCATTTTGGAAACACTGTTTTTATCCATTCTGCAAATCAAAATTTGGAAGCTCATTGAGGCCAATAGCAAAAAAGTGAATATCTCTGCCTAAAAAAGAGAAGGAATCTATCTGAGAAACCTCTTGGTGATGTGTGCATTCTTCTTGCAGAGTTAAACATTTCTTTTCATTCAGCAGTTTGGAATCACTGTTTTTGTAGAATCTGCGAAGGGATATTTGGGCATGCATAGAAACCTATGGTGAAAAAGGAAACATCTTCAGTTAAAAACTAGAAAGAATCTCTCTGAGAATCTGCTTTGTTATGTGTGCATTCATCTCACAGAGTTAAACATTTCTTTGGATTCAACAATTTGTAAAAACTGTTTTTGTCCATTGCAAATGGACAATGGGATCTCATAGAGGCCAATGGTGAAAAAGCAAATAACACAGGATGAAAACTAATAGGAAGCTATGGGACGAACAAGTGTGTGATGTTTGGATTGATCTCACAGTCAGATAGAAACTAGAAAGAAACTTTCTGAGAAACTGCTTTGTGAAGTGTGCATTCATCTCACAGTGTTAAACATTTATTTGATTCAGCAGTGTGAAAACTGTTTTTGTTGATTCTGAAAATGGACATATTGGAGTTATTTGAGGCCTATGGCAAAGAAGAAATTAATTCAGGATAAAAACTATAAGGAAGATATCTGAGAAACATCTTGGTGTTGTGTGCATTTATCTCACAGAGTTAAACCTTTCTTTCCATTCAGCTGTTTTGAAACACTGTTTTGGATAATTGGGAGCACAATGAGGTCTATAATGAAAAGGGAAACATATTCAGATAAAAACTAGAAAGAAGCTTACTAAGAAACTGCTTTGTGATGTGCGCATTCACCCCACAGAGTTAAAATTTTCTTTGGATTCATCAGTTTGGAACCACTGTTTTTTTTCCATTCTGCTACTGGACAATGGGAGCTCTTTGAGGACAATGGTGAAAAAGGGACTATCCCATGATAAAAACTACAAGGAAGCTATTGGAGGAACAGCTATGTGATGTGTGCATTCATCTCACAGATTTAAATCTTTCTTTTTATTCAGCTGTTTGGAATTACTGCTTTTATAGAAAGTGCAAAGGGATATCCAAGAGTGCATTGAGGCCTATGGTGAAAAAGAAAATATCTTTAGAAAAAAATTAGAAAGAAGCTTTCTGAGAAACTGCTTCATGAAGTGTACATTCATCACAGAGTTAAACCTTTCTTTTGATTCAGCAGTTTCAAAACACTGTTTTTGTTGATTCTGCAAATGGACATATTGGGACTCATTGAGAGGAATGGAGAAAATGAACTACCTCAGGATAAAAACTAGAAGGAAACTATCTTAGAAACAACTTTGTGATGTGTGCTTTCATTTCTTAGAGTTAAAATTTACTTTTCATTCAGCTGTTTTGAAACAGTGCTTATGTAGTATCTTTGAAGGGATATTTGGGGGAGTACTGAGACCTACGGTGGAAAAGGAAACATCTTCAGATAAAAACTAGGAAGAAGCTTTCTGAGAAACTGCTTGGTGATGTGTGCATTCGTCTCACAGAGATATACCTTTCTTTCGATTCAGTAGTTTGGAAACAGTGTTTTCGTACATTGTGTGAATGGATGTATGGGAGCTCATTGAGGCCAAAGTCAAAAAATCGAATATCCCAGGATAAAAACTAGAAGGAAGCTTCCTGAGAAACTACTTTTTCATGAGTGCATTCACCGCACAGAAGTAAGCCTATTTTTGGATTCATCAGTTTGGAAACACTGTCTTTGTCCATTCTGCGAATGGACATTTGGGAGCTCATTTAGGACAATGGTGAAAAAGTGAATATCCTACAATAAAAAATAGAAGGAAGCTATCTGAGAAACAACTTTGTGATGTGCACAATCATCTCTCAGATCTAAAATTTTCTTCTTATTCAGCAGATTGGAAGCACTGTTTTTGTAGAATCTGTGAAGGGATATTTGGGAGTATGTTGAGGCCTACATTGAAAAAGGATATATCTTCAGGTAAAAACTAGAAAGAAGCTCCATCAGAAACTACATTGTGATGAGTGCATTCATCTCACAGAGTTTATCCTTTCTTTGGATTCAGCAGTTTGGAAACAATGTTTGGTCCATTCTGCCAATGGATATTTGGGAGCTCATTGAGGCCAAAGGCTGTAAAACAAATACTCATGATAAAATCTAGAAGGAAGCAAACTGAGGAACTGCAGGGTGATATGTGCATTCATCTTGCAGAGTTAAAACTTTCTCTGCATTCAGCAGCTTGGAAACACTGTTTTTGTAGAATCTGTGAATTGATATTTGGGAATGCATTGAGGCCTATGGTGTAAAAGGAAATATCTTAAGGTAAAAACAAGAAAGAAGCTTTCCGAGAAAAGCTTCTGTGATCTGTGCTTTCATCTTAGAGAGTTAAACCTTTCCTTGGATTCAGCAGTTTGGAAACACTGGTTTTGTACATTCTGTGAATGGACATTTGGGAGCTCTTTGAGGCCAATGGTGAAAAAAGGAGTATCCTAGGATAAAACGTAGAAGAAATCTATCTGAGAGACTGCTTTGTAATGTGTGCATTCATCTCACAGAGTTAAACTTGTCTTTTCATTCAGCAGTTTTGAAACACTGCTTTTTAGAGACTGCATAGTGATATTTGGGAGTGCTTTGAGGCCTATGGTGAAAAAGGAAATATCTTCAAATAAAAACTAGAAAGAAGCTTTCTGAGAAATTATTTCATGATGTGTAATATATCGCAGAGAATTACAGGTTTCCTTGAATTCAGCAGTTTGGAAACACTGTTTTTGTAGAACCTGTGAAGGGATATTTGGAGGCTTATTGAGGCCAAAGGAGAAAAATCATATCTCAGGATAAAAACTAGAAGAAAGCTATCTGAGAAACCACTTTCTGATGTTTGCATTCATCTCACACAGAAACCTTTCTTTTCATTCAGCAATTTTGAAACACTATTTTTGTAGAATCTGCAAAGGGATATTTGGGTGTGCATTGAGTCTTATGGTGAAAAAGGAAATATCCTCAGATAAAAACGAGAGAGAAATTTTCTGAGAAACTGCTTTGTGATGTGTACATTCAACTCACAGAGTTAAATCTTTCTTTGGATTCAGCAGTTTGGAAACACTGTTTTCGTCCATTCTCTGAATAGAAATGTGGGAACTCCTTGAGGCCAATGGTGAAAAAGCCAATATCCCAAAATCAAAACTAGATGAAAACTATCCGAGTAACCAATTTGGGATGTGTGCATTCATCTCACAGAGTTAAAACTTTCTTTTCTGTCAGCAGTTTGGAAACTCTGTTTTGGTGGAATCTGTGAAGGGATATTTAGAAGCACCTTGAGGCATATCGTTAAAAAGGAAATATCTTCAGAAACAAACTAGAAAGAAGTTTCTGAGAAACTGGTTTGAGATGCATGCATTCAGCTCACAGAGTTAAACATTTCTTTTCATTCAGCAGTTTGGAAACAATGTTTTTATAGAATCTGTGAAGAGATATTTGGGAGCTCATTCAGGCCAAAGCGTAAAAAGTGAATATCAAAGGATAAAAATAGAAGGAAGATTTCTGAGAAACTGCTTTGTGATAAGTGCACTCACCTCACAGAGTTAAATCTTTTTTTGATTTCAGCAGTTTGGAATCAGTGCTTTTGTAGAATCTGTGACAGGTTATTTGGGAGATAATTGAGGACAAACGTTAACTAGCAATTATCCCAAGATAAAAACTAGAAGAAAGCTATCTGAGGAACCGCTTTTTGATGTGTGCATTCATATCACAGAGTTAATTTTTTCTTTTCATTCAGCACTTTGGATATACTGTTTTTGTAGAAACTGCGAATGGATATTTCGGAGTCAATTGAGGCCTATGGTGAAAAAGGAATTATCTTTAGATAAAAACTATAAAGAAGCTTTCTGAGAAACTGCACTGTGATGTGTGCATTCATCTCACAGAGTTAAACCTTTCTTTGGATTCAGCAGTTTGGAACAAGTTTTTATCCATTCCACGAATGGACATTTGGGAGCCCATTGAGGCCAATGGCTAATAAGTGAATATACCAGGATAAAAACCTGAAGGAAGCTATTTGAGAATCTGCTTGTGATTTGTGCATTCATCTCAGAGTTAAACCTGTCTTTTTATTCAACCGTTTGGAAACATGGCTTTTAAGAATCTGCATAGGAATATTTGATGGCTCAGTGAGGCCATAGGTGGAAAAGAATATACCCCAGCATAAGAAATAGAAGGAAGCTATCTGAGAAACTGCTTTGTGATATATGCATTCATCTTGCAGAGTTAAACCTTTCCTTTCATTCAGCAGTTTGCAAACACAGTTTTTGTAGTATCTCCATTGGGATATTTTGGAGCATATTCAGGCCTATGTTGAAAAAGGTGATATCTTCAGATAAAAACTAGAAAGAAGATATCTGAGAAACTGCTTTGGATTGTGCACATTCATCTCTCAGAATTTAACCCTTCTTTCCATTCAGCAGTTTGGAAACACTGTTTAGATAGAATCTGTGAATGGATATTTTAGGGTGCATTGAGGCCTATGGTGAAAAAGGAAATGTCTTTAGATGAAAACTAGAAAGAAGCTTTCTGAGTAACTGCTTTGTGATGTGTGGAATGATCTCACACAGTTAAACCTTTCTTTTCATTTGGCAGGTTGGAAACACTGTTTAGGTCCATTTTGTGAAAGGACACTTTGGTGCTCATTAAGGCCAAGAGCAAAAAAACAAATATCCCAGTATAAAAACTAGAAGGAAGGTATCTGAGAAACTGCCATGTGATGTGTAGAATCAACTCACAGAGTTAAACTTCTCTTTTTATTCAGGCGTTTGGAAACACTGTTTTTCAGAATCTGTGAAGGGATATTTTGTAGCACTTTGAGGCCTATGGTGAAAAAGGAAATATCTTCAGATAAAAACTAGAAATATGCTTTCTGAATAATTGACTTGTGATGTGAGCATTCGTCTCAAAGTGCACAACCTTTCTTTGGTTTCAGCAGTTTGGGAGTAGTGTTTTGTAGAATCTGTGAAGAGATATTTGGGAGCTTTTTGAGACTAAATGCAAAAAACGAGTATCCCAGGATAAAAACTAGAAGGTAGCTATTTGAGAAACCTCTTTGTGATGTGTGCATTCATTTCACAGAGTTAAACGTTTCTTTTCATTCAGCACTTTGGAAACACTGTTTTTGTAGAATCAGCTAGGGGATATTTTGGAGTGCTATGAGGCCTAAGGTTGAAAAGCAAATATCTTCAGATAAATACAAGAAAGAAGCTTGCTGAGAAACAGCTTTGTGATGTGTGCATTAAACTCACAGAGCTAAACTTTCTTTGGATTCAGCAATTTGCAAACACTGTTTTTGTAGATGCTGTGAAGGGATATTTGGAAGCTCGTTGATGCCAATGGCAAAGAAGGTATCATCCCAGGATAAAAACTAGAAGGAAGCTCTTTGAGAAACCACTTTGTGATGTGTGCATTTACCTCGCTGGCTTAAACCTTTCTTTTCATTCAGTAGTTTGGAAACACTGTTTTGGTAGAGTCTGTGAGGTAATATTTGGGAGACTATTGACACTTATGGTGAAAAAGGAAATATCTTCAGATAAAAAATATAAAGAAGCATTATGAAAAATTGCTTTGTGATGTGTGCATTCATCTCAAAGAGTTCAATCTTTCTTTGGATTCAGAATCATAGAAAACATTTTTGTAGAATAAGCAAAAGGATATTTGATAGCTCATCTAGGCCACACACCAAAAAGCAAATATCCCATTATAAAAAATAGAAGAAAGCTATCTGAGAAACCACTTTCTGATGTGTGCACTTATCTCGCAGAGTTAAAACTTTCTTTTCTTTTAGCAGTTTGGAAACACTATTTTGGCAGAATCTGCAAAGGGAATTTTGGGAATGCATTGAGGCCTATGGTGAAAAAGCAAATATCTTCAGTTAAAAATTAGAAAGAAGTTTTCTGAGAAACTACTTTGTGATGTGTATGTTCATCTCACTGAGTTCCACCTATCTTTGGATTCAGCAGTTTTGAAAACTGTTTTTGTAGAATGTGTAAATGGATATTTGATAGCTTATTTAGGCAATATGTGAAAAAGCAAATATCCCAGGATAGAAACTAGAAGGAATCTATCTGAGAAACTGCTTTGTGATGTGTGCATTCATCTCGAAGAGCTAAACCTTTAATTTCATTCCACAGTTTGGAAACACTGTTTTTGTAGAATCTGCAAAGGGATATTTGGGACAGCATTGAGGCCTACGGTGAAAAAGGAAATATCTTCAGATGAAAGGTAAAAGGAGCTTTCTGAGAAACTTCCCTGTAAAGTATGCATTCATCTCACAGAGTTAAAATGTTCTGTGGACTCAGCAGTTTGGAAACATTCTTTTTATAGAATCTTCAAACAGATATTTGGCAGCTCTTTGAGGCCAAAGGAGAAAAAGCGAATATCCCAGGATAAAGACTAGAAGGAAAGTATATGATAAACTGTTTTGTGATGTGTGCATTCACCTCACAGAGTTAAACATTTCTTGTCATTTAGCTGTTGTTGGAATAAAATGTTTTTGTAGAATCTGTGAAGGGATATTTGGTAGCAAAATGAGGCCTATGGTGAAAAAGGAAATATCTTCAGATAAAACCTAGAAAGTAGCTTTCTGAGAAACTGCTTTGTGATGTTTGCATTCATCCCACAGATTTAAACCTTTCTTTGGATTCAGTAGTTTTCAAACACTGTTTTTGTCCGTTCCGTGAATGGACACTTGGGAGGTCATTGACTACAATGGTGAGAAACTGATTTTCCCAGGATAAAAACTAGAAGCAAGCTATCTGAGAAACCACTTTGTGATGTATGCATTCAACTCAGAGTGTTAAAACTTTCTTTTCATTCAGCAGTTTGGAAACACTGTTTTTGTAGAATCTATGATGGGATATTTGGGAATGCAATGAGGCATATGGTTAAAAAGGAAATATCTTCAGATAAAAACTAGAAAGAAGCATTGTGAGACACTGCTTTGTGATGTATGCATTCATCTCAGAGAGTTAAACCCTTCTATGGATTCAGCACTTGGAGCTATTGGAGGAAATGCTGTGGGATGTGTGCATTCATCTCACAGAGTGAAAGTGGTCTATTCGTTCAGCAGTTTGGAAAGTATATTTTTTAGAAACTGTGAAGGGATATTTGGGAACGCTTTGAGGCCCATGTTGAAAAATAAAAATATCATCAGATAAAAAAATAGAAAGAAGCTTTCTGACAAACCGCTTTGTGATGTGTGCATTCACCTCACAGAGTTAAAACTTTCGTTGCATTTAGCAGTTTTGAAAAACTGTTTTTGTCCATTCAGTGAATGGACGTTTGGGAACTCATTGAGGCCAATGGTGCAAAAGTTTTTATCCTCATATAAAAACTAGAAGGAAGCTATCAGAAAAAGCTGTATAATGTGCATATTCATCTAGCAGAGGAGTTATGCTTCTCTTTTCATTCATCAGTGTGGAAACAGTGTATTTTACAATCTGCGAAGGATATTTGGGTGCGCATTGTCATCTCTGGTTGAAAAGGAAATATCTTCAGATAAAAATAAGAAAGACGATTGCTGAGAAACTGCCTTGTGATGTATGCATTAATCTCAAAGATTTAAAATTTTTTTTGGATTCAGCAACTTGAAAACACTGTTTTGGTAGATTCTGCAAAGGGATATTTGGGAGCTCATTGTGGGCAAAGGAGAAAAAGGGAATATCTAAGGATAAAAACTAGAAGGAAGCAATCTGAGAAACTGCTTTGTGATGTGTGTGTTCATTTAGCAAACTGAAAACTTGCTTTTCATTCAGCAGTCTGGAATCATTGCTTTGGTAAAATCTGTGAAGGGATATTTGGGACATATCGAGGCCTATTGTGGAAAAGGAAATATCTTCAGATGAAAACTAGAAAGAAGCATTCTGAGAAATATCTTTGTGTTGTGCACAATCATCTCCCAGAGGTAAATCTCTTTTTTTCTTTCAGCAGTTTGGAAACATTGTTTTGGTAGAATCTGTGAAGGGATATTTGAGAGAGCTTTGAGGCCTATGGTGAGAAAGGAAATATATTCAGATACTAAATAGAAAGAAGCTTTCTGAGAAACAGCTTTGTGATGTGTGTATTCATCTTACAGATTTAAAACTTTCATTTTATTAAGCAGTTTGGAAACACTACTTTTGTCCATTCTGAGAATGGGCATTTGTGATCCCACTGAAACCAATGACAAAAATGCAAACATCCCAGTATAAAAACTAGAAGGAAGCTATCTGAGAAACCGTCATCTTGCAGAGATAAAACTTCCTTTTCATTCAGTAGTTTGGAAACACTGTTTTTGTAGAATCTGCAAAGGGATATTTAGGAGAGCATTGAAGCCTATGGTGAAAAAAGAAATATCTTCAGATAAAAACTAGAAAGAAGTTTTCTGATAAACTGCTTTGTGATCTGTGCATTCATCTCAGAGATTTAAAACTTTCTTTTGATTCAGCTGTTGGGAAGCACTGTTTTTGTCCATTCTGCAAATGGACATTTGGAATCTCATTGAGGTGAATGGTGAAAAAGTGAATATCTCTGGATAAAAACTTGAATCAAGCTACCTGAGAAACTGGTTTGTGATGTGTCAATTCATCTCACAAAATTAAACCGTTCTTTTCCTTCAGGAGCTTTGGAAGAAATTTGGTAAAATCTGTGAAGGGATATTTGGGATCACATAGAGGCCTAAGGTGAAAAAGTAAATATCCCAGGGAAAAACCAGAAGGAAGCTATCTGAGAAACCACTTTCTGATGTGTGCACTCATCTCACAGAGTTAAACAGTTCTGTTGATTCAGCATTTTGGAAACACTGTTTTTGTAGAATCTGCATAGGGATATTTCATAGCACGTTGAGGCCATATTCGAAAAAGCAATCCTTCCAGGATAAAAACTAGAAGGAAGATATCTGAGAAACTAGTTTGTTATGTGTGCATTCACCTCACACAGTTAAACCTTTCATTTCATTCAGCAGTTTGGAAAAACTATTTTGGTAGCATTTGTGAAGGGATATTCAGCAGCACATTGAAGCCTCTCATGAAAAGGGAAATATCTTCAGTTAAAAACTAGAAAGAAGATTTCCGGGAAACTGCTTTGTGATATGTGTTTTCATCTCAGAGAGTTAAACATGTCTTTGGATTCAGCAGTTTGTAAACACTAGTTTTGTAGAATCTGCATAAGGATATTTGGCAACTCATTGAGGCCAAAGGCGATAAAGCAAATATCTGAGGATATAAACTAGAAGGAATCTATCTGAAAAACTGCTCAGTTATGTGTGCCTTCAACTCACAGAGTTAAAAACTCCTTTTCATTCAGCATTTTGGAAACACTGTTTTGGTAGAATCTCTGAAGGGATATTTGGGAGCACATTGAGGGCTAAGGTGAAAAAGGAAATATCTTCAAATAAAAGCTAGAAAGAAATTTCCTGAAACTCCTTTGTGATGTGTGCATTCATCTCACAGAGTTAAAACTATCTTTGGATTCAGCAGTTTGGAAACACTGTTTTAGTCCATTCTGCTAATGGATATTTTGGAGCTCATGGAGGTCAAAGGTGAGAAAGGGAATATCCCAGGATACAAACTAGAAGGAAGCTATTTGAGAAACCGCTTGTAATGTTTGCTTTCATCTCACAAAATTAAACCTTTCTTTTCTTTCAGCAGTTTGGAAACATTTTTCCATAGTATGTGTGAAGGAATATTTGGGAGTGCACTGAGGCCTATGGTGAAAAAGGAAAATATCTTTGGATAAAAACTAGAAAGAAACTTTCTGAGAAACAGGTTTGTGATGTGTGCACTCATCTGACAGACTTTAAAATTTCCTGTGATTCAGCAGCTTGGAAACACTGTATTTGTAGAATCTGCAAAGGGATATTTGGGAGCATATTGAGGCCTATGGTGAAGAAGGAAACATATTCAGATAAAAAGTAGAAAATAGCTTTTTCTGAGAAACTGCTTTCTGATGTCTGCATTCATCTCACAGATTTAAAACTTTCTTTGGATTCAGCAGTTTGGAAACACTGTTTCTGTAGAATTTTCTAAGGGATATTTCATAGCTCATGGAGGCCATAGGTGAAAAAGTGAATATCTCTGGATAAAAACTACAAGGAAGCTATCTGAGAAACTGCTTTGGAATGTGTGCATTCATCTAACAGAGTTAAACCTTCATTTGGATTCAACAGTTTGGAAGCACTGCTTTTGTGCATTCTGCGAATGGACATTTGGAAGTTAATTGAGGCCAATGGTGAAAAAGCGAATATGGCAGGATAAAAATAAGAGGAAATCAAGCTGAAAAACCGCTTTATTATGTGTGAATTCATCTCACAGAGTTAAACCTTTGTTTTCATTCAGCAGTTTGGAAACACTCTTTTGGTAGAATCTGCGAAGGGCTATTTTGGAGCACTTTGAGGCCTATGGTGAAAAAGGAAATATATTCAGATAATAACTAGAAAGAAGCTTTCTGAGAAACTGCTTTGTGATGTGTGCTTTCATCTCAGAGACTTAAACCTTTCCTTCGATTCTGTAGCTTGGAAAAACTGTTTTTGTCCATTCTGTGAATGGACATTAGGGATCTCATTGAGGCCAATAGTGACAAAGTGAATATCCCAGGGTAAAAACAAGAAGGAAGCAATCTGAGGAACAGTTACATGATGTGTGCATTCATCTAGTAGAGTTAAACCTTTCTTCCAATTCAGCAGTTTGGAAACACTGTTTTGGTAGAATCCATGAAGGGATATTTAGAGCACATTGAGGCCTACAGTGAATAAGGAAATATCTTCATATTAAAAACAGAAAGAAGCTTTCTGAGAAACTGCCTTGTGATGTATGAATTCATCTCACAGAGTTAAATCATTATTTGGATTCAATAGTTTGAAACACCGTTTTTTTAGAATCTTGAAAGGGATGTTTTGGAGCTCATTGAGGCCAAAATCCAAAAAGCAAATATCCCAGAATAAAAACCAGACAGAAGCTATGTGAGAAACTGCTTTGTGATGTATGCATTCACCTTGCCAAGTTAAACATTTCCTTGCATTGAGCAGATTGGAAACACTATTTTTGTACAATCTGTGAAGGGATAATTGGAGTTCAATGAGGCCACAGACAAAAAAACGAGTATCCCAGGAGAAAACCAAAAGGAAGCTATCTGAGAAACCACTTTGTTATGTATGCATTTATCTCTCAGAGTTAAAGTTTACTTTTCATTCAGCAGTTTGCAACCACTGTTTTTGTAGGATCTGTGAAAGGATACTTGGGAGTGCATTGAGGTCTATGGTGAAAAAAGAAATATCTTCAGATAAAAACTAGAAAGAAGCTTTCTGAGAAACTTCTTTGTGTTGTGTGAATTCATCAACAGAGTTAAAACTTTGTTTTCATTCAGTGGTTTGGAAGCACTGTTTTGGTAGAATCTGCAAAGGGCTTATTAGGAGCGCATTTAAGACTATGATGATAGGCAAAACTCCAAATATCCCTTCTCAGATTCTACAAAAACTGTTTCCAAACTGAAGAATCCAAAGAAAGGTTTGACACTGTGAGAAGAATGCACACATCACAAAGCAGTTACTCAGAAAGCTTCTTTCTAGTTTTTATCTGAAGATATTTCCTTGTTGAATCTGGGAAGGGATATTTGGGAGAGCATTGAGGCTTATGGCGAGAAAAAAAATAGGGCTCAAATTGCCCCAAATTTCCCCTCACATATTCTACAAAAACAGTGTTCCCAAAGTGTTGAATGAATAAAAAAGTTTAACTCTGCGAGATGAATGCACACATATCAAAGCATTTTCTCAGATGGCTACCTTCTAATTCTAATCACTCTTTTGCCTTTTGGCTCAAAGAGCTCCCAAATGTCCTTTCACAGATTCCATAAAAACAGTGTTTCCAAACTGCTGAATCCAAACAACGTTTTAAGATTGTGTAATGAATACACAAATCACAAGACAGTTTCTCAGAAAGCTTATTTCTAGTTTTTAAGTGAAAATGTTTCCTTTTTCACCATAGGCCTCAATGTGCACCCAAGTATCCCCTCACAGATCCTACAAAAACAGTGTTTCCAAACCGCTGATTGAAAAAAAAGGTTTAACTTTGTGAGATGCATGCAATCATCACAAAGTGGTTTCTCAGTCAGCTTCCTTCTAGTTTTTACCCTGGGATATTTTGTTCTTTGCCATTGGCCTCAATGACTTCCCAAATTTCCATTCACAAAAGGGACAAAAACAATGTTTCTAAACTGCTGTATCCAAAGAAAGGTTTAACTCTGTGTCAAAGGCACACATCAAAAAGGAGGTTCTCAGAAATCTTCTCTCTAGTTTTTATATGAAAACATTTCCTTTTTCACTGTAGGCCACAGTACTCTCCAAAATATCCCTTCACGCATTCTAAAAACACAGTGTTTCCAAACTGCTCAATGAAAAGAAAGGTCTAATTGTGTGAGATGAATGCACACATCACAAAGCCATTTCTCAGAGAGCTTCCTTCTAGTTTTTATACTGGGATATTCGGTATTTTGCCATTGGCCTCAATAAGCAGCCATATGTCCATTCGCAGAATGGACAAAAACATTGCCTCCTAAGTGCTGAATCCAAACGAATGTTTAACTCTTTGAGATGAATGCAGACATCATAAAGCAATTTCTTAGAATGATTACATCTCGTTTTTATCTGAAGATATTTCCCTTTTCACCATAGACCTCAAAGCTCTCCCAATTATCCCTTCACACATTCTGAAAAACAGTATTTCCAAACTTCTGAAACAAAAAAGAATTTTAGCTCTGTGAGATGGTTGCACACATCACATAGTAATTTCTCAGATACCTTCCTTCTAGCTTTTGTCCTGGGATATTCAATTTGTCACCCTTGGCCTCAAATGGACAAAAACAGTGTTTCCAAATTGCTGAATAAAAATAAAAGTTTAACTCTGTGAGATAAATGCTCCAGTTACAAAGCAGTTTCTCAGAAAGTTTCTTTCTAGTTTATATCTGAAGATATTTGCTTTTTCACCTTAGGCTTCAATAGACTCCCAAATATCCTTTTGCAGATTCTACAAAACAGTGCTTCCAAACTGCTGAATGAAAAGCAAGGTTTAACTATGCGAGATGAATGCCCACATTACAGAGGAGTTTCCCAGATGGGATTCATCTAGTGTTAATCCTGGGAAATTTTCTCTTTCTCCTTTGGGCTAAATGAGCTCCCAAATGTCCATTCAGTGAATGGACTAAAACAGTGTTTCCAAACTGCTGAGTCAAAAGAAAGGTTGTACTATGTGAGATGAATACACACATCACAAAGTAGTTTCACAGAAAGTTTCTTTCTAGTTTTTATCTAAACATATTTCCTTTTCATCATTGGCCTCAATGCACTCCAAAATATCCATTTGCAGATTATACCTAAACAGTGTTTCCAAATTGCTGAATAAAAGTAATGTTAAACTATGTGACATGAATGAATACATCACAAAGCGGTTTCTCAGATAGCTGCTTTCTAGTTTTTATCCAGGTATATTCGATTTTTCACCTTTGGCCTCAATGGACTCCCAAATATCCATGTTCAGAATGGACAAAAATAAAATGTTTCCCAGCTGCTGAATCCAAAGAAAGTTCGAACTCTGTCAGATGCATACACACATCCCAAAGCAGCTACTCAGGAAGTTTCTTTCTAGTTTTTATTTGATGATATTTTCTTTTTCACCATAGGCCTCAATGGGCTCCCAAATATCCCTCACAGATTCCACCAAAAGAGTGTTTCCAAACTGCTGAATGAAAAGAAAGTTTTAACTCTGGGAGATGAATTCAAGCATAAAAAAGTGGTTTCTCAGATAGTTTCCTTGTAATTTTTATCCTGGAATAAGCTTTTTTTTTTTCCTTTGGCTTTAATGAGTTCCCAAATATCCCTTTACAGATTCCACAAAAAGAGTGTTTCCAAGCTACTGAATACAAAGAAGGTTTGAACTCTGTGAGATGAATGCACACATCACAAAGCAGTTTCTCAGAAAGCTTCTTTCTTGTTTTTCGCCATTGGCCTCAAAGTGCTCCCAAATATCACTTCACTGAGTCTAAAAAACAGTGTTTCCAAACTGCTGAATGAAAAGACAAGTTTAAGTCTGTTAGAAGAATGCACATAACACAAAACAGTTTCTGTGATAGCTTCCTTCTGGTTTTTATACTGGGATATTCACTTTTTTGGTTTGGCCTCAATGAGCTCCCAAATATCCCTTCACAGATTCTGTAAAAACACTGTTTCCAAACTGCTGAATCCAAAAAAATTTCAATACTGTGAGTTGAATGGACACATCACAAAGCAGTTTCTGAGAAAGTTGCTTTCTTTTTTTATCTGAAGATATTTCCTTTTTCACAACAGGCCTTAATGCTCTCCAAAATATGTTTTCATGGATTCTACCTAAATCGTCTTTCCAACCTGTTGAATGAAAAGAGAAGTTTAACTCTGCAAAATGAATGCACACCTCACAAAGCAGTTTCTCATATAGCTTCTTTCTTGTTTTTATCCTGGGATACTCACTTTTTTCCCTTTGGCCTCAATGAATTCCCAAATATCCCTTAGCAGATTCTACCAAAAGAGTGTTTCCAGACTGCTGAATGAAAAGAAAGGTTTAACTCGGGCACATAAATGCAAACATCAAAAAGAGGTTTCTCACATAGCTTCCTTCTAGTTTTTATACAGAAATAATCACTTTTTCATCATTGGCCTCAATGTTCTCCCAAATGTTCATTTACAGAATGGATAAAAACAGTGTTTCCAAAATGTGGACTCCAAAGAAAAGTTTTACTCTGTGAGATGAATGCACATATCACAAAACTGTTACTCAGAAAGCTTCTTTCTAGTTTCTACTGAAGATATTTCCTTTTTCATTATATGCCTCAATGTACTCCAAAATATCTCTTGCAGTTTTTTCAAAATCAGTGTTCCAAACTGCTGAATGAAAAGAAAGGTTTATCTCTGGGTGATGAATGCACACATAGTGAAGCATTTTCTCAGATACTTCCTTGAAGTTTTAATCCTTGTATATTCCCTTTTTTGCCATTGGCCACAATGAACTGCCAAATGTCCATTCACACAATGGAGAAAAACAGTTTCCAAACTACTGAATCCACAGAAAGTTTTAAATTTCTGAGATGAATGCACACATCTCAAAGCAATTTCTCAGAAAACTTATTTCTAGTTTTTATCTGAAGATATTTCCTTTTTGACATATGCCCCAATGCACTCCAAAACATCCCTATGCAGATTATACCAAAATTGTGCTCTAACTGCTGAATGAAAGAAACGTTTAACTCTGTGAGATGACTGTACACATTAAAGCAGAGTTTCTCATATAGCTTCCTTGTAGTTTTCATCCAGGAATATTGGCTTTATTTGCAATTGGTCTCAATGATCTCACAAATATCTATTCACAAAATTGACAATAACAGTGTTCCCAAACAGCTGAATCCAGAGAAAGGTTTAACTCTGTGAGACGAATGCACACATCACAAAGCCATTTCTCTGAAAGATTCTTTGTATTTTTTATCTGAAGATATTTACTTTTTCACCAGAGGCCTCAATGTACTCCCAAATATTTCTTCGCATATTCTACCAAAACAGTGTTTCCAAACTGTTGAATTAAAAGAAAAGTTTAAATCTGTGAGATGAATGTACACGTCACAAAGCTGTTTCTCAGATAGCTTCCTTCTAGTTTTTATCCTGAGATATTCACTTTTTCACGATTGATCTAAATGAGCTCCAAAATATCCATTCATAGAATGGACAAAAGCTGTGTTTCCAAACTGCTGAATCCACAGAAATTTTTGACTCTGAGAGATAAATGCAAACATCACAAATCAGTTTCTCAGGAAGCTTCTTTCTAGTTTTTATCTGAAGATATTTTTTTTCCACCATAAGACTCAGTGTGATCTGAAATATCCCTTTGTAGATTCTACTAAAAAGGTGTTTCCAAACTGATGAATAAAAAGAAAGGTTTAATTCTGGGAGATAAATGCACACATAACAAAGCAGTTTCTAAGATGGTTTTCTTCTAGTTTTTATCCTGGGATATTTGCTTTTTTGCCTTCGGCCTCAATGAGATCCCAAATATCCCTTCACAGATTCTACAAAAGCAGTGTTCCCAAACTGTTGACTCCCAAAGGAAGTTTTAATTCTTTGAGATGAATGCATACATCACAAAGCCATTTCTCAGAAAGCTTCTTGCTAGTTTTTCTCTAATGGTATTTCCTATTTCTCAATAGGCCTCAATGTGCACCCCAATATCCCTTTGCAGATTCTATAAAAACAGTGTTTCCGAACTGCTGAATGAAAAGTAAAGTTCAACTTTGCCAGATGAATGCACACATCACAAACCCGTTTCTCATATAGCTTCCCCCTAATTTTTACTCAGGATATTCTTTTTTTTGCCTATAGCCACAATGAGCTATCAAATATCGCTTTGCAGATTCTACAAAAACTGTGTTTCTACTCTACTGAATGGAAAGAAAAGTTTAACTCTCTGAGATGAAGCCACACATCACAAAAGCACTTTCTCAGAAAGCTTCTTTCTAGTTTTTATCTGAAGGTATTTCGTTTTTCACATTAGGCCTCCATGTGCTCCCAAATAACCCCTCACAGATTATACCAAAACAGTGTTTTCAAACTGTCGAATGAAAAGAAAAGTTTAAGTCTGTGGGATGAATGCACACATGACAAAGCAGTTTCTCAGATAGCTTTTTTCTAGTTGTTATCCTGGGACATTCACTTTTTCACCATTGTCATCAATGAGCTTCTAAATGTCCATCTGCAGAATGAATAAAAACAGTGTTTTCAAAATGTAGTATTCAATGAAAGTTTTAACTCTATGAGATAAATGCACACATCCTAAAGCAGTTTCTCAGAAAGCTTCTTTCTAATTTTTATGTGAAGATATTTCCTTTTTCAACATAGGCCTCAATGTGCTTCCAAATATCCCTTCGGAGATTCTACCAAAACAGTGTTTCCAAAGTACTGAATGAAAAGACAGGTTTAATTCTGCAAGACGAATGCACACATCACAAAGCTGTTTGTTAGACAGCTTCCTTCTAAGTTTTAGTCTGAGATTTTCACTTTTTCGCCATTGGCTTCAATCAGCTCCCAAATATCCATTCGCAGAATGGACAAAACCAGTGTTTCCATACTGCTGAATACAAAGAAAGTTTTAAATCTGTGAGATGAATGCACACATCACAAAGAGGTTTCTCAGAAACCTTGTTTGTAGTTCTCATCTGAAGACGTTTCCTTTTTCAACATAGATTTCAATGTGTTCCCAAATGTCCCTTCTCAGAAGATTTCAAAACAGTTTTTCCAAACTACTGAATAGAAAGGTTTAAGTCTGTGAGATGAATGCACACAACACAAAGTGTTTTCTCGCATAGCTTCCTCCTAGTTTTTATCCTGGGATATGCACTTTTTTGTATTCATCCTCAAAGATCTCCTAAATATCCATTCACACAATGGACAAAACCAGTGTTTCCAAACTGCTAAATACAAAGAAAGGTTTGACTCTGTGAGATGAATGCACACATCACAAAGATGTTTGTCAGAAAGCTTCTTTCTAGTTTTTATCTGAAGAAGTTTCATTTTTCACTATAGGCCTCAATGAGCTCCCAAATATCCCTTCACAGATTCTAGAAAAACAGTGTTTCCAAAGTCCTGAATAAAAAGAAAGTTTTAATTCTATGAGATCAATGCGCACATCACAAAGCAGTTTCTCAGAAAGATTCTTTCTAGTTTCTTCTGAAGATGATTCCTTTTCCACCATAGGCCTCAATGTGCTCCCAAATATCCCTTTGCAGATGCCACAAAAATAGTGTTTACAAACTGCTGAATGAAAAGAAAGGTTTAACTCTGAGAGATCAATGCACACATCACAAAATGTTTTCTCAGGGAACTTCCTTCTAGTTTTTAAAATGTGATATTTGCTTTTTTGCCATTGGTGTGAATGAGCTCCCAAATGTTGATTTTCAGAATGGACCACAACAGTGTTTCCAACCTGCTGAATCCAAAGAAAGGTTTAACTCTGTGAAATCAATGCACACATCACAAAGCAGTTTCTCAGAAAACTTATTTCTAGTTTTTATATGAAAATGTTTCCTTTTTCACTATAGGCCTCAATGCTCTCTCAAATATCCCTTCGCAGATTCTACAAAAACAATGTTTTCAAACTGCTGAATGGAAAGAAAAGTTTAACTCTGTGAGATGAAACCACCTATCACAAAGTGGTCTCTCAGATGGCTACCTTCTAGTTTTTATTGTGGGACATTCACCTTTTTTCATTGGCCTCAATGAGATCCCAAATGTCCATTTGCAGAATGGAAAAAAAAAAACAGTGTTTCCAAACTGAGCTCCCTAGTGTCCATTAGCAGAATAGACAAAAACAGCATTTTCAAACTGCTGAATTCAAAGAAAGGCTTAAGTCTGAGAGATGAAAGCACATATCACAACGTGGTTCCTCAGATAGCTTCCCTCTAGTTTTTATCCTGGGACATTTGCTTTTTTGCCATTGGTCTCAATGTGCTCCCAAATATCTATTCACAGAATGGATAAAATTGGTGTTTTAACACTGCTCAATCAAAAGAAATGTTTTACTCCATGAGACAAATGCACCCATCACAAAGCAGTTTCTCAGAAAGATTCTTTTTAGATTCTATCTGAAGATGTTTTCTTTTTCACCATGTACCTCAGTGGACTCCCAAATATCCCTTTGCAGATTCTACAAAACCAATGTTTGCAAACTGCTGAACAAAAATAAAGGTTTAACTCTTCGAGATGAATGCACATATCACAAATCAGTTTCTCATGCAGCTTCCTTCTGGTTTTTATCCTGGGATATTCACCTTTTTGCCATTGGCCTCAGTGAGTTATCAAATGTTCATTAGCAGAATGGACAAAAACAAAGTTTCTAAACTCTGAATCCAAAGAACTGTTTAATTCTGTGAGATGAATGCACACAACACAAAGCAATTTCTCAGATAGCTTCTTTCTAGTTTTTACCTGAATATGTTTCCTTCTTCACCATAAGCTTCAGTGCATTCCTAAATATCACTTTACAGATTCTATGAAAACAGTGTTTCCAAACTGCTGAATGAAGAGAAAGGTAAACTATGCAGATGAATGCACACATCACAAAGTAGTTTCTTAGATGGCTTTCTTATAGATTTTATCCTGGAATATCTGATTTTTCACCATTGGCCTCAATAAGCTCCCAAATGTTCATTCACTGAATGGACAAAAAGAGTGCTTACAAACTGCTGAATCAAAAGAAAGGTTTCACTCTGGGAGCTGAATGGACACATTATATTGCAGATACTTAAAAACTTTCATTCTAGTTTTCATCTGAATGTATTTTCTTATTCAGGATAGGCCTCAAAGCAGTCTCAAACACGCCTTTGCAGATTCTAAAAAAACAGTGTTTCCAAACTGCTGGATGGAAAGAAACATTTAACTCTGTGAGATGAATGCACACATTACAAAACAGTTTCTCAGAGATTCCTTTTAGCTTTTATCCTGTGATATTCACATTTTCGCCATTGGCCTCAATGAGCTCCTATATGTCTACAGGCAGAATGGAAAAAAAAACAGTGTTTTTATACTGTTGAATGAAATTAAAGGTTTCAACGTGTGAGATTAATGCACACATCACAAAATGGTTTCTCATGTAGCTTCATTGTAGTGTTCATAATGGGGTATTTGCTTTTTTGCCTTGGCCTCCCAAGTTTCCATTTGCTGAATGGTCAAAAACAGTGTTTGCAAACTGTTGAATCAAAAGAAAGTTTTAATTATGTGAGATGAATGCACACATCACAAAGCAGTTCCTCAGAAACTGCAAATATCCCAGGATAAACCTAGAAAGAAGCTATCTGTGAAACCACTTTGTGATGTGTGCATTCATCTCACAGAGTTAAACATTTCTTTTCGTTCAGCAGTTTTGAAACTCTGTTTTTGTCCATTCTGTGAATGGACAGTTGGGAGATCATTAAAACCAAGGGTGAAAAAGCAAATATTCCAGGATAAAAACTGTAAGGAAGACATCTGAGAAACTGCTTGTCATGTGTGCATTCATCTCACCAAGTTAAACCTTTCTTTTCATTCAGCAGTTTGGAAACACTGTTTTTGTAGTATCTGTGAAGGGATATTTGGGAGTGCATTGAGGCCTATGGTGAAAAAGAAAATATCTTCAGAGAAAAACTACAAAGAAGCATTGTGAGAAGCTGCTTTGTGATGTGTGTTTTCAACTCACAGAATTAAACTTTCTTTTGATTCATCAGTTTGGAAACACTGTTTTTGTAGGATCTTCAAAGGCATGTTTGGGAGTGCCTTGTGGACTATGGTGAAAAAGAAAATATTTTCCAGTAAAACGTGGAAAGATTTCTCAGAAACTGCTTTGTGATTTGTGCATTCATCTCACAGAGTTAAACATTTCTTTTGATTCAGTAGTTTGGAAACACTGTTTTTTTCCATTCTGCTAATGGACATCTGGGCGTTCATTGACACAAATGGTGAAAAAGCAAATATCTCAGGATAAAAACTAGAATGAAGCTATCTCAGAAACGGCTTTGTGATGTGTGCATTCATTTAGCAGAGTTAAGCCTTTCTTTTCATTCAGCAGTTTGCAATCACTGTTTTTGAAGAATCTGCAAAAGGATATTTGGAGTGCATTCAGGCCTATCATGAAGAAGAAAATATCGTCAGATTAAAACTAGAAAGACTCATTCCTGGAAACTGCATTTGGGTGTGGGCATTCATCTCACTGAGTTAAAGATTCCTTTAGGTTCAGCAGTATGGAAGCACTGTTTTTTTCCCTTCTGCAATTGAACATGTGGGAGCTCATTGAGACCAATGGTGAATATGAGAATATCCCAGGACGAAAACTAGAAGAAAGCTATCTGACAAACTTCTTTCTGATGTGTGCATTCATCTTAGAGTTAAAAGTCACTTTTCATTCAGCATACTGGGAAGCCTCTCTTTTTAGAACCTGTGAAGGGATCGTTGGGTGTTCCTTGAGTCCTATGGTGAAAAAGGAAACATCTACAGATAAAAACTAGAAAGAAGCTTTCTAATAAACTGCTTAGAGATGTGTGCATTCGTCTCACATAGTGAAACATTTCTTTGGATTCAGTAGTTTGGAATTACTGTTTTTGTCCATTCAGTCAATGGATATTTGTGAGCAAATTGAGGACTAGGGTGAAAAACAAAATATGTTCAGATAAAAACTAGAAAGAAGCTTTCTGAGAAACTGCTTTGTGATGTGAGCATTCATCTAAGAGAGTTAAAACTTTCTTTTGATACAGCAAAGTGGAAACACTGTTTTTGTAGAATCTGTGAAGGTGTATTTAGGAGCAAATTGAGGCCTATATTGAAAAAGAAAATTATCTTCAGATAAAAACGAGAAAGAAGCTTACTGAGAAACTGCTTGTGATATATGCATTCATCTCACAGTGTTAAAACTTTCTTTTGGTTCACAGTTTGGAAAAATTGTTTTTGTTCATTCTGCAAATGGACATTTGGGAGTTCATTGAGGCCAATGGAGAAAAAGGAGTATCCCAGGATAAAAACTAGAAGGAATGTATCCGAGAAACCACTGTGTGATGTCTGCATTGATTTCACAGAGTTAAACCTTTCTTTTCATTCAGCAGATTCAGAACACAGCTTTTGTACAATCTGCCAATTGATATTGTGGAGCACATTGAGGGCTTTGGTGAAAAAGGAAATACCTCCAGATAAAAACTAGAAAGAAGCTTTCTGACAAACTGCTTTGTAAGATGAGTATTCATTTAACAAAGCTAAACCTTTCTTTTGATTCAGCAGTTTGGAAACACTGTTATTGTCCATTCTGCTAATGGACAAAAATCAAATATCCCATTAAAGAAACTAGAAGGAAGCCATCTGAGAAACCGATTTGTGATTGTACTGCAGAGTTGATTGTACTGCAGATTGATTGTACTGCAGAGTGATTGTACTGCAGAGTTGAACTTTTCTTTTCATTCAGCATTTTGGAAACACTTTTAACTCATCATTTTGGAAACACTGTTTTGTAGAATCCGAGAAGGGTTATTTCCAAGCACATTGAGGCCAATGGTGAAGGAGAAATATATTCAGATAAAAATAAGAATGTTTCTGAGAAACTAATTTGTGATGTGTGCATTCATCTCATAGACTTAAATCTTTCTTTTCTTTCAGCACTTTGGAAATACTGTTTTTGTAGAATCTGTGAATGGAAATTTTGGTGCTCATTGAGGTCTATGGGGAAAAAGGAAACATCCTAAGATAAAAACTGGGAGGAATATTTCTAAGAAACTGGTTTGAGATATGTACATTCATCTCACAGAGTTGAACCTTTCTTTTATTCAGCAGTTTCAAAACACTGTTTTTTTCCATTCTGCAAATGGATATTTGGGACCTCTTAGAGTCCATTGGCAAAAAGGTGCATAACCCAGGATAAAAACTAGAAGCACTCTACATGAGAAACTGCTTTGTGGTGTGTGCATTCATGTCACAGAGTTAGAGCTAAATCTTTCTTTTCATATAATAGTTTGGAAACGCTGTTTTTTTTAGGATCTGCGAAGGGATATTTGTGACTGAATTGAGGATTATGGTGAAAAAGGAAATATTTTCAGATAAAAACTGGAAAGAAGATTTCAGAGAAACTGCTTTGTGATGTGTGCATTCATCTCATACAGTCAAACCTTTCTTTCCATTCAGCAGTTTGGAAACACTGTTTTTGAAGTATCTGCGAAGGGATATTTGATAGCTCTTTGTGGGCAATGGTGAAAAAGCAAATATCCCAGGATAAAAACCAGAAGAAAGCTATCTGATGAACCGCTTTGCAATGAGTGCATTCATCTCACAGACTTAAACTTTTCTTTTCATTCATCCGTTTAGAAACACTGTGTTTCTAGAATCTGCAAAGGAAAACTTGGCACAGCATAGAGGCCTGTGTTCAAAAATGAAACATCTTCAGATAAACGTAGAAAGAAACTTTTGAGAAACTGGTTTCTGATGATTTCATTCATCTCATAGAGTTAAACATTTCTTTTCATGCAGCAATTTGGGGACACTGTTTTGTAGAATCTGAAAAGGGATATTTTGGAGCACATTGAGGCATATGGTAAAAAAGGAATTATCTTCAAGTAAAAACTACAAGGAAGCTATCTGACAAACCGCTTTGTGATGTGTGCATTCATCTCACAGAATTAAAACTTTCTTTAGATTCAGCAGTTTGGAAACACTGTTTTTGTCCATTCTGCAAATGGACATTTGGGAGTTCATTGGGACCAGTGGCATAAAAGGAAATATCCCAGGATAAAAACCAGAAGGCAGCTACCTGAGAAAACGTTTTGTAATGTGCATATTCATCTAGCAGATTTAAACCTTTCTTTTCATTCAGTAGTTTGGAAACACTGTTTTTGTGGAATTTGTCAAGGGATATTTGGGAGCCCATTGAGGCCTATGGTGAAAAAGGAAATATCTTCAGATAAAAACTAGAAGGAAGCTTTCTTAGAAACTGCCTTGTGACATGCGCATTCATCTCACAGATTTAAAACTTTCTTTTGATTCAGCTGTTTGGAAACACTGTTTTTGTTTATTCTTCACATGGACATTTAGGAGCTCATTGAGGGCAATAGCGAAAAGTGAATATCCCAGGATAAATATTTGAAGGAAGCAATCTGAGAAACAGCTTTGTGATGTGTGCCTTCATCTCGCAGTCTTAAACCTTTCTTTTCATTTAACCATTTGGAAACACTGTTTTTGTAGTGTCTACTAAAGGATATTTGGGAGCCCATTGAGGCCTATGCTGAAAAAGGAAACACCTTAAGACAAAAACTGGAAAGAAGCTTTTCAGGAAACTGCTTTGACATGTATGCATTCATCTCAGAGAGTAAAAACTTTCTTTTTATTCAGCAGTTTGAAAACAGTTTTTGTAGAATCTGTGAAAGGATATTGGGAGCACATTGAGGCCATTTGTGAAAAAAGAATTATCTTCAGGTAAAAACTAGAAAGAAGCCTTCTGAGAAGCTGCTTTTTGAAATGTGCATTCGTCTCACAGAGTTAAACCTTTCTTTTGATTCACCAATTTGGAAACACTGTTTTTGTCCATTCTGTGAATGGACATTTGGGAGCTCATTGAAGCCAATGGTGAAAAAGCGAACATCCCAGGATAAAAACTAGAAGGAAGCTACCAGAGAAACTGCTTTGTGATGTGTGCATTCACCTCACAGAGTTAAAAGTTTCTTTTCATTCAGCAGTTTGGAAATCTGGCTTTTGTAGAATCTGTGAAGGGATATTTTGGAGTGCATTGAGGCCTATGGTGAAAAAGGAAATATCTTCACATAAAAAACAGAAAGAATTTTTCTGAGAAACTGATATGTGAAGTGTGCATTCATCTCACTGATTTAAACCATTCTTCTGATTCAGCAGTATGGAAACTCTGTATTTGTCTATTCTTCAAATGGACATTTGAGAGCTTATTGAGGCCAATAGCTAAAAAATGAATATCTCAGGATAAAAATTAGAAGGAAGGTATCTGAGAAACAGCTTTGTGATATGTGCATTCATCTGACAGGGTGAAACCTTTCTTTTCCTTTGGCAGTTTGGAAACACTGTTTTTGTCACATCTGCTAAGGGATATTTGGGAGCTCATTAAGGCCTATGGTGAAAAAGGAAACATCTTAAGACAAAAACTGGAAAGAAGCTTTCTAGGAAACTGCTTTGAGATATGTGCATTGATCTCAGATTGTAAAACCTCACTCTTGATTCAGCAGTTAGTAAACACTGTTTTTGTCCATTCTGCAAATGGACATTTGTGAGATCTTTGATGCCAATGGCAAAAAAGCATATATCCAAGGATAAAAAATTGAAGGCAGCTGTCTGAGAAACCACTTTGTGATTTTTGCATTTGTCTCACTGAGTTAAACCTTTCTTTTTATTCAGCGGTTTGGAAACACTGTTTTTGTCCATTCTGCAAATGGATATTAGGGAGCTCTTTGAGGCCAGTGCTGAAAAAGCTAATATCCCAGGATAAAAACTAGAAGGAAGCAATCTCAGAAACTGCTTTTTGATGTCGGCAGTCATTTCTCAGATTTCAACCTCTCTTTTCATTCAGCATATTGGAAACACTGTTTCTGTAGAATCTGCAGAGGGATATTTGGGAGCACATTGAGCCTAGGGTGAAAAAGGAAATATCTTCAGGGAAAAACTAGAAAGAAGATTTCTGAGAACCTGCTCTGTGATGTTTGCTTTCATCCCACAGAGTTAAAAGTTTCCTTTGATTGAGCAGTTTGGAAGCACTTTTTTAATAGAATCTTTGAAGGGATATTTGTGAGTACATTGTGGCCTATGGTGCAAATGGAAATATCTTCAGATAAAAACTAG